>NC_000006.12:96888971-97040486 GCF_000001405.40 Homo sapiens
ATAGCGTATCAGTTAGAAGCACAAGGTTCTGAAAATAACCTAACAGGACTAAATCCAGGCTTCAACACTTACTAAGTAATCTTTGAAGTTACTGAAGCTCTCTATGCTTCTAAAATATGGCTACTTATCCTTGTACCTATGGTAAATATTAAGCAAGTTAATACACGTAAAGCACTTCAATCAGACCCTAGTACAGTAATTACTTTTAAAATGTTAGATGGCATGGCTAGTGGTGATCCTGAGATCTAAACTGTTTTCTGAATCTAAATTCCATGCACTTTCTGACATCACTGCTACCAAGTGCTCTCCTGTATATAATAAAACGCAGTATAGGACTGATGAATGGTATGGGAAGAAGTTCTTTATTTTATCATGTGACACCACATAACAGATGCCTAACCACACAATGTAGATATGAATAAAGAAGATGGCTCAGAAGAGTGTACTAGTATTTGTGACTCAGCTAGTGACCATTATGATAAAAAGAATAAAGTTTTGACTTATTTACAGTTTTAAAATGCATTTTATATTGAGTAGTTATTTCATGTTTTCTTAAAACAATTATTGTATTGAACTAAAAATAAACTAGGTAGTTTGTTCACATAACAAATCTACATTCAAAGTCATGCTTACAAATTTTCCACTTAGTCCATTTTTCTGTTCTCAGCATTACTACAAATGCCTCATTCCGTCATCACATTGAATTCTTCAACATCCTCTATATCATTTCCAGGGGCATCTCTGGGAAGTAGTGATGCCTATCTTCCCTCGGAAGCACTAATAACCCTAATATACCCACAATTCACACCTTTTCCCTTCTTTGAGGTGTGCTGCTTTTTGGCAAGACAGAAAAAACACACTACTAGGATTTGAAAAACTAAATTCTGGGCCTGTTTAAGTCATAAACTACAGAATCTTCGGTCATATATTCTCCCCAGGCACTTGTTTCTCCACCGCAAAAAATAATTCCTATTTGCTTGGTCCTTTGTAGTCCTTTATTATTTATCTTCATGATAACCCTTACATTTAGGGTAGCATTATGCTTATTTTATAGAAGAAACTCAATCTCCAAGAAGATATAGTCTCCCAAAGATCCCCCAAGTAGTAATATATTAGGCAGAGCTAAACTCACACACTCACTCAAGATCCTAGTACTGGTACATGCTATGCTAATTAAATTTGCTAAAATGGATGAAATGGCAATTTCTCAGGTCCCTTCCAATGATCCTGTTCTCTGCTTCTACTTGCTATCTTTTTCTCTTCTCTCAACTAGCATTAACATCCGAAACTATATGTAATCACCAAATTTCATCTACCATGGTTTTTTAATTATTCTTTAAATTTTTCTCTATTTCCACATTAAATCCAGAGAAATGTTACTTTTTTGAAAGTTTCTGCTTCCTGCCTCTCTGAAGGCCATGGGACTTAACTATTTGTCAAAGCAGAAATTCCCATGGGACTTACCTATCTGTCAAAGCAGAAATTCCCAACATTTTGTAAACACCACTAATTACTTTTTATAACTGTAAAGACAATTATTCCATACTTAAAACCAATTCAAAATAAAATAAATCCTCAATACTTCTTATTCCCTGGAGTAGTAATTTTAATTAGATTCTATTGATTCATTTTCTCCTGTGTGCCTTTATTTGGGAACTACTGTTAGTCTACCCTGCTATCGAGTCTCTTTCCCTAACGAGAAAATGTCAGTCTTAAGGGTCAGGAAAGCTTTTACTTTCACTATCGCATGAGAAGAATGAACTAAACACCTAACTTGGAAAGTAAAACTCAGTTGAGGGATTCAGGACATTTCCCAAGGGGTAATATGACCAATTTAAAAGTTGGTATATGTGCCTAAAATAACAAATTAACTCTTTCACCATAATAAAGGTACAGATGTGCTCAGTCATGCTGACATGCACTTATGAAATATGCCTAAACCAAATTAAAATAAAACAAAAGATATTCTATGGCAATCTTGAAAAGTCAGGGAGCTCAATAAATATTAAGAGTATGCCCTCACAATGAGAGCATTAAATATTTGGTAATTAACATAATTTATTACGCAAAAAATGAGAAAATATACAGCAGGAGGGATGAGGAGTACACATAGGAAATTTCTGTGATTTTCTTCATTTTGATCGTATTGCTTTCTTGTCTTCAGGAGGGAAGATTTCGACTTCAAAAGTAACAAAATATTTAAGAAGAGAATTCACATCTTTCTGTTCTAACTGGTATTCCTGCATTATTTTCTCAGCAGTCCAGGTTTCTGGGAAAAGCTTATGATTATTGAGAAGTGTCAATGCTTCTACAATGGAAATTTTGCCTTTGGGAATGCTCTTAATATTTATCATATCAAAATGATGGTCTTTCGGCAATCTGAATTCCTTCGGCTCTTGACATGTTTCAGCAGCTTTTACCTAGTATCAAAAAAAAAAGGTTTTAGGATGAGAGAAAAGATTTGACATCTACTTTCATACTTCTCAAATCTACACTATTCCTCTTCAAATAACAACTAATATGGTTTGGATCTGTGTCCCCACCCAAATCTCATGTCACCAAATTGTAGTCCCCAAAGTTGGACGTAGGGCATGGTGGAAAGTGACTAGATCATGGGAGTGGATTTCCCTCTTTGGTGCTATTCTCGTGATAGAGTTCTCACCAGATATGGTTGTTTAAAAGTGTGTAGCACCTCCCCCACACCCCGCTTCTGCTTGCTCTGGCAATATAAGCCGTGCCTGCTTCCCATTCCACCATGATTATAAGTTTCCTGAGGCCTCCCCAGAAGCAGAAGCTGCTATCCTTCCTGTATGGCCTGCAGAATCGTGAGCCAATTAAACATCTTTTCTTTATAAACTACCCAGTCTCATGTATTTCTTTACATCAGTGCAAGAATGGATTAACACAAATTCTATATACGATTTTCCAAACTTCATTTTCTTATTATAATGAGCCATAGTTTAATAGTACTTTTGCCACATTGCCTTTTCATAACTATAGCTCTATCATTAAGAAATGTAGGCATCTCTAGAAAATAATAATCAAATGTATACCATCCACTCACCACATTATTTCACGTGTTTTAAAAGAACAATGAAAATAATTTATTAAAAACTGCACCTGTTTTAAAAGGGCAGGATTCTGATGCCACCCTAACAGCTGGCTTGATAACATCTATTCTGTTTCCCAGCTTTGTATTTCATACTCAGTACTCCCAAACACCTTGAATGAATTGAAATATTGCTAGTGATCTTTCTCCCGAGAAAATAAACTAACGCCTCCAATACACTCCAGTATAAATAAAACAACCTATGCACACCCATCCTTCCATCTATCTGTCCCATCCCAGCTTAATCCCAGCACGTGTGCTCTGCATTCCATTCTTGTTTCCTAGCTATGCCTATCATTCTTTCTTTTCTTTTCCTTTTTTTACTGCACTGTGCCTACTGCTGCTTTTTGGTCAAATATAGAAATGCTATAGTTACTATGTTTTTTAACATGCCCACCAAACCCAAAACCAACACCTCTTTTATGACCAGTTTCCTTCTCTTCAGGTAATGTTTAAAAGAAATAATGCTTGCTATCTCTAATGACTGCCTAGTTGCTTAATTCAGAGGACACTTTTTAGACCTCATTTGAACTCACTATAGTATCTCACTACATCTGACACTGCTGACCACTCCAATGTACTTATAACTATCTTCCCCCTTGGTTTCCATGCCACCCCCTCACAGTTTTCCATCGGTTTTTTCAGTGGGTCCTTCGGGGTTTTATTCATGGACCCTTTTCCTTTTGCTTACCCTTAAATGTCAGTGTGTGACATTTAAGAGTGCCCAGGCCTTCTTCTCACTCTACACATTCTTCCAAAGTAATCCCACACACTCCTCTAACTTCCATTACTGCCTACAAGTTAATTACTTCCAAAGCTGTGATCGTAAACCAAGACCTTTTCTTGATTTCCCAACCCAAATGCTTAACAGGTATCTCCACTTAAATGACCTACATGCTCCTCAAATTCAATATTATCTGAAACTAAACCTATCACCAGTTCTACTCCCATATCCTCAATTTCAATGACCAACACTACCTACCTCTCATGCCAAAAATGAGATTATACTTGCACCTCCCTCTCCCTTACTCATTACACCAATCAATGACCAAATCCTGTTGACACTGCATCATATGTCTCTCTCAAACTCACTCACATCTCCCCCATACTACTAAATCACCCTAGTCCAAGCCAATGTCTCTTGCAGAAATGACTGCAAATACCTCCTATTTGGTCTCTTCTAATTAGATAAAATGCACTTTGTTCCCCCGCCAGGCTACTTTCAAATCTAACATCACTTTTGACCATTAACTCTTTAATGACTTCCCATTGTCTTCAGAATAAAACAAAACTCCTTAGCAAGAAAAATAAGGGCCTTTACGATCTGACCCCTATCACTCTCCATCCCAACTCACTTCTCCCAAATTCACATTTCACATTTTCTCATAACTGCAGTGAACTCTAACCATTCTTCAAAGGCATCACACACTCTTGTATCTTTATATTGCAAACTAGGCCTGAAACACTCTTCTCAACTTTTTCACTTTCCAAATCTCAAAGCTATTTTCCTATTCCCAGGTAAGGTAGATCTTCCTTCCACTCCAAGCACATCTGTATTCAGATTTCCTTTCTAATTAATAGTCAATACTAAAATAAATAATTATTTGACACAAAAAAATCTAAGAAGATTCAAAATCCTCTCGACTGAAAAAAAAAAAACCCTTAGGAAATTAAAAATAGAAGAAAATGTCCCAAACGTGATATAAGTATTTTTTAATCGAAAACAAGTATCATTCTATTATAATTAATGCTGAAACACTTGAGACATCCTGTGGAAGGAAGGAACAGATGAGAATGCCTACTTTCACTGGCATGTTAATGTATACAACACAATAAAAGAATGAAGTAAAAATACTAGAAAGAGAAGTTTTTAATTCTACATAGATATATCTTTAGAAAAGAGAATCAACTGAAAACCTAACAGAAATAATAACCTAGCAATGTGGGTAGCTACACTATAAAAACCACTCACTTTCTGATATATAGTAGTACCTGGCTTTATCTACAGTTACCTGAAGTCAACTACAGACCAAAAATATTAAATGAAAAACTCCAGAAGTAAACAATCCATAAGGTTCAAACTGCAAACCATTCTGAGCAGCATAATGAATTCTTACGCTATCCATTCCATCCTGTCTAGGATGTGAATCCTCCCTTTGTCCAGTGTATCCATGCTGTACAGGCTACCTGCCTGTTAGTCACTTAGTAGCCATTCTGGTTATCAGACTGTGTGGCATCACTGTGCTTGTGTCCAAGTAACCCTTACTTTACCAAGAATAGCCCCAAAGCACAAGGGTAGTGATGCTGGCAACTCAGTTATGCCAAAGAGAAGCCATAAAGTGCTTCCTTCAAGTGAAAAGGTAAAAGTTATTGACTTAATGAGGAAAAAAAATCATATGGCGAGAGTGCTAACATGGATAATAAGAATGAATCTTCGAACCCTGAAATTGTTGTAACTGTTCCATTTTATTAGTTGTTAATTAAACTTTATCATAGTATATATTTATAGGAAAAAGCAGTATATATAGGGTTCAGTACTACGCTCAGTTTCAGGCATCTACTGAGGGTCTTGGAACCTATCTGCTGATTAGGGAAGACTACTGTAGCAGCAATAAACAGTTTAAATTTAAAGTGAAAAAAGCTCCCATCACAGTAACAACGTTCCCTTTACCACTCAAAGACTTAATAATTAAAATGTTAATTCTCCTCAAATTAATCCATAAATTCCCATTCAATTATACTCAAAATCCAAATAGGACTTATTAAAGAACCTGACAATTTCATTCTCAAATTCATCTGGAAAAATATTAATGTGTGAAAAGAGACCAGAAACTTTTTAAAAGAATGAGAGAAGACTATAAGAAATATCAACACACATTATAAAGCTCTATTAATTAAAACTATGGTTCTAGTGTATAAATAGAAAAATAAGTAAAACTGATGAGTCCATAAATAGACCCATATGTGTATCTAGAGATGCATTTTAAGTAAGTGGAGAAAGGTCTGGGCTCTTCAACAAATTATATTTACACAACAAGCCATCTGTTTGAAAAGAGGTTCAACTGATCTATTCCACACATCAAAGACCACATTTAATGCCAGATAAAGATTTTAATATAAAATGTAGTTATAAAACTACTGGAAGAAAATACAGAAGAGTTTATATGATGGTAGAGTGGGCCCAGTATTCCTTTACCACAAAAGGCAAAAAGACTGAAATATTTGACAGAATTTTGAATAAATATGTTAAAAAGTCAGACAACAAATAAATTATTTGCCATATGAAAGGCACAGTATCAATGATGTCTAGAGGCATCACAACCATGAACTGCCCGAAGGAAAAAAAGGGACACAGAACATAAACAAAAGGCAATTCCAGTTTTCATTATCACTCTCCCTAAGGAATCTAGACTTTTCCTAATGTCCCCATGAAATTTTAATATCACTATATACGTATCTCTTTACGCATTATATGTATAACTGAGTCTTATACATACAAAGCATTAATTTTTTTTTGCTCCCAAGAGTGAATTTTCAGATGCATAATTAAGTAACATGAGAGAAAGAATACTTGGGGAGTATTACTCAACACCTATTTTAAAATGACGTAAGAACACAGACATTAACCCTATACTTTTTTCATGTGAGCATGTGGTGATAACTGAACCCTACAATTACTATGTGCAGCGATTAACAAATCTTGTTTTATTTCTCCTCTGTAGTGAAAATTATATTAATAATTCTATCTGTGCAAATATCCAGAGAGAGAGGGACAGTACCAGAATATTTTAGAATGAAAAAAAAAATCTGGAAGTTGTTGGCACTTCCTTGGCCTTTAATCAAACTTTACCCCTAACTAGAATCTTCCTGCCCCCAAAAACTCATCTGGTTAACTCCAACTGATCCCTCCTCAGGCCTGAACATAACTATCACTTCCTCAGAAACCATCCTTGATCCTCCCATTTCAAAGAGGTCCCTCCAATATACTCAGCAGTGCACGTACTTTTCCCATAATTATGGTCACATTGTTGCTCATTTGTTTAATGGCTGTGTCCTTCACAACATCATAGGCCCTGTGAAAATAAGGACTAGTTTTGTTCATCACTATATACAAAGCACTTGTGCCCAGGACTTACATAATACAGAATATGGATTTACACATAGGTTCCCATTCCTAATGTATTCTTTGATCCTTCTAATTTTAAATATCCTATCTGAATACATCCTTAAAAAAACAAACAGGAACACCCCACAAAATCCAACAACACCACTTACTAAAGGAGTCTCTGAGATTAGAACATACCTCAATCCACAGAAGAATGAGAAAATAATATTAAAGCTCTGCTTTTGTCACTCAAATGACAACCACTGGAAGTAATGCCTTACCAAATCCTACAAATTCTGAAATACTATGAAATAATTCACACAGTTGCTTGTATCAATACTTCCACAAGTTATTTTAGAATTCTGGTAAATATCCAGTGAACCAAGGCATAAGTGTCTTGCTGTCTTACACCAGTGTGCTTAAACTTTGCCAAGGCGTGTAGATTGATCACAACACACACTTGCAGAGCACTCTTTTTACTACTTGCCACACTTAATCATTTTCCTGAAGCCCCAAAATAAGTAAATTGTGTATTCACTTAATTAAACACACATTTACCTGCAAGGAAGACACAGGATCTTTGGAATCAACATACACATCTTTTAGAAACGACAGCAGCTTTTCATCTTTACGAGCAATCTCTCCTTTAACTTCTGGATAGACTAAGGAAAGGAAAAAAGTCACAATATTAAAATCAAGGAAAATTTCCTGTAATATCCTAAACGCTTAACACAAACGCTTTCTTTTATTTTCTTTTTTGAGTCGGAGTCTCGCTCTGTTGCCCAGACTGGAGTGCAGTCGCGCGATCTCGGCTCCCTGCAACCTCCGCCTCCCGGGTTCGAGAGATTCTCCCACCTCAGCCTCCCGACAAGCTGAGGCTACAGGCGCGCCACCACGCCCGGCTAATTTTTGCATTGTTTGTAGAGACGGGGTTTAGCCATGTTGGCCAGGCTGGTCTCGAACTCCTGACCTCAGGTGATCTGCCCGCCTCGGCCTCCCAAAGTGCTGAGATTACAGGCTTGAGCTACCGCGCCCGGCCTAACCACTTTAATTTTTTTAAAAAATAAACATAATCATTTGGACTGTTAGGAAAATACTTTAGATGGAAATCAAAATTCCAGGTCAGGCTCTGCGTCCATCGTCCAGTGAAGACCCCTAGAGAAAGCTCTGTGACCCTCTCGGATTTTGATTCCCTGTATCAAGTCCGTGACAGCAGCCGGCGAGGGCCTGGTTAGCGGGAGCACTGGCTGCTGCCTCTGGGTCTCGGAAGTAGGCGGGGCCGCCGACCTCACCGCGGGCGCGGAGGACAGTCTCAATGTCACCGGCCTGGCGGCTCCCCCTTCCAACGCTCCGCCAACCCGAGCGGCTGCGGCCGAGCAGGCTGACGCCGATCCCTCGGCCTCCGGACCCACGCTAGGGACAGCCGGGCAGCACAGGGACTCCGCGCCCCCGGGCCCCGAAACGCCCTCGCACCACTCACGACTAATCTGCTCTCGCAGGAGGCTGTTGGTAGAGGGGTGTCTGGGAGCGACAGAGGGCTTCATCTTGCTGATTTCCCGTTCCGCTCGGTTCTCTAGGTTGAAATTCCTGATACCGCGAATCACTAGTGCTCCCATCTCCTCATAACATTATGCGCTCAGGTTCAGGCCGCACGTGGGAACACCGGCGCAGGACAACTCCGGGACACCCGGAGCATGCGCACAAGTGAGGGGAAGCCCCGCCGCGGGCGCTTAAATGCGTGCCCGTCGCCCCCTAGCGCTCGGGAGGCCACACACCGCTTCTCTGCCCAGGGCATTTAAAAGGGAGCCCCTCCCTTCGGGGCGAGTGACGGCTCCCACGAGGGCCGCTTCCGGCGGGAGGTGGCGGGGCTTAAGTCCCCAGACCCACGGTTGCTTTTAACGCTGGAACTCCGAGGGAGTCACCCGGGAAGCTCTGTAAAGTTCTGTGCCGGGCCCTACCCCAGACTTTCTGATTTAATTCTTGTGGAGTGAGGCCCAGCATTGGATAAGACTCCACGTGATTCCAAAGTTTCAGTGAAGAGCTGAAAATCAAAGTCGTAAGGAAGTTGACCTTGAAGTTGTTTCACAGGGCAATGCCACCAAAGAGTTAGCCGATAAAAATGGAACTTACTGAACCAGGGTCAAACTGGGCTCTCAAGTTGCCCTTTCCTGCTTTTGTGAAAGGAAAATAATGAAAGGATGTTCCCTTTCGATGAGTATTTGTTCTCAGCCGCTCTCATTTAAATGCCTCTTATTTTCCTGTCCCCCCGCCTGATGCATTTTCAAGCCACTGTATTCTTTTTCCATTATTTTTTACATCCCGTTCTCATTTGACCTAATGGTATCGATTTTAGTTATACTTTCCCTTATCTTATTTTTGCTACTAATTTACTTCTCCATGCTACTAAATGCTGAGTCATTCCCTCTCCTATTTCTCTTCTCTCTTGCCTTCTTCATTCTTTTTAAGCCTCTGTGTAATTTAATGAAAGGAACAGACAATAAGACGTCAGAAAAAAAAAACAAACAAACAAAAAAACGAGTGTTACATTCACCTTCTCCGTCTCTCTCCATTTCCTGAATGGGTTACTGTAGTGCTGCTTTTATTTAAGACCCTTTAGAAATATTGTTATTAATCTAAAATAAAACCCACCAGGAAGGAAGCAGTAGGAAGGAAGTTACAGTATTTCTCTTACTGTGGCTGCAAAATCTATTTTTAGTGTTCTGATCTCTGCTTAGCAAAATGAAGTAGAGTGGATGTTTTTAACCAGCTTAAAGTAAGAAAATATTGATGTAAAGATAATCGAATAGAATAATAATAATAAAACAAGAATCAAAGAACCAAAATGAAGAAAGGGAAAGTTTTTTAAAAAGAAAACTAATGTAATCATTAAGTATAATGCTTAATCAGAGCAAAAGCACTGCAAGGAAGACGGCTTCAGCCACTCTAATTTAAATGCCCTTTATTTAATTATACTGAACATTTTTACAGGGATTGGTATTTGGAATTTATAGAAGCTGAAATCAGTGATCTCAGATAGCATTAACTGGGAAGTTATCCTGAAGGTGGCAGGCTGCTCCAAGATTTCTATCTTTGATACTTTTAAGCATGCTTGTGATTCAGGGCTTTTTAGGCACGGTATTTCTATTTCTATGGGTGCTAAGAAATTTTAATCTGCCTCATTATGTCTATGTGCTTTAATCATGGTAGCAATTCGACTCACTGCCTGTTAAAATATTTTAAAAGTGAAAATCTCATTTTCATAGAAATTCCACCGAACTTCGGGCAGTATGAAAAAGTAATGTTAGAAGTGACTGTCAGGACAGTAGGGATTACAATATGAAATAATTATTTGAATTCACACATTCCAATAGAGCTTGGATTCAACATTGAAAGAGCTTCCAGCATGTGTCAGCTGCTTTGCCTGATCCTGGCCCAGTGCTGCTCAGGCCCTCAAATTGCAAAACAGAAGGCAGATGCACTCCATCAGAAACTCACAATTGGCTGTCACCCTTTGGGAATCATGGAAATAAAACCTGAACCATAAATGCATAATTCCAGCTCTTCTTGTCAAAACATATAAATTAACAGGAACTCTGAACTTAAGAACTCCTGTTGGGCTTATGTTAAGGATTGAAGTCAGATCCCCAAGGAAAGTATAACTAGGATGCTGCTTAGAATGAAGCTTCCATCTGAGTGGAGTATTATGATGCATGTGTATGGCTGAATATCTTAAGATACTAATAAACCCAGGGTCTTGACAACACACTAGAATGTAAATTCTGAGGACAGAACTTTGTCTGTTTTGTTCACTGTTCAACACATTGAACAGCTAGTACACAGTAGGTACTAAACAATTATCAAATAAAGGTCAAATGAACTGAAAGACAAGTAGGATCCCTGAGCTGGAGTCCAGACCCCAGACAAGTTCTCTCTGCCTGAACACTAGCCCTGCTTCCAGAAGTGAGTCCTTATGCAAGTAACTTAATGTGGTTGAACACACTTTGCTCATCTTAAAATTGGGATAATAGTAATCACCTAAGGGGTTTTACACAGATTAAAAATATGTGTCTAGTACAATGCCCAGCTCAGAATCTGATGTTCAATATTTGCATTGTTTTTCATTTTTCAGAGGAGAAGGGAGCAGTTTTAAAAAGGACACATATTCTGAAGCTCTGGTGAATAGGTGAATGAAAGTGATAAAAAAATTTGAGATTACGGTAAGACTCATGTTCTTCAATAATTTAATTTTTAAAAAATAAAAAATGCTAAATTTGATTTTTATTTGCTGATTAACGTGCTCAGCACACGTGGTGGTATTGTTAGATTTATTAAGGTTGGAATATGGGTGGGAATCATTAGTTCTCGGGCATAAAATGCCACCTGCCTGTGCCTGACATTGGCCACAGAAATAGTCCCCACTTTGTTTCCCTCTGCCCTCATGTCTTTCTCTCTGCCTAGACTTTTACCATTGGGTACTCCTTCTTTTGAACATAATTCAACAGCATTCTGCGTTCTCCAAAGGATTACAGTAGCTAAACCCAGGTGACAGTTGGCTCAAGGGGCCCAGGACAGCCCTCAGAGGTTTCATCAATCAAATCTCAACCACTAGTGAGGAGCACAACAGATTTATGGAGGAATGACTTATTCTGGCAGAGGTTCTGGTGTTCAGGCAGAGAGAACCTCTCCAGGGCCTGGATTCCAGATTAGAAACCAGAGAATTTGTAGGAGTCCAACTGAAATAATTTACAAGGTTCCCAAGTTTGGCCAATTTCATAGTGATGCAGTGTTTTGGGTCTGTAAAACCTAGAATACTGGGAGCGGGGGGTAGTGCCACAAACTCAAAACCAAAACAAACTAGGCTTTGTGCAGATCCAGTATTCATATTGAGGAACACTGGGTCTCAGATTAGAGATTAGAATGATCAACCAGCAATTATGCCCAGATGCCTGCTTTGTGGTTACTGCACTCATGACTTTTGTCATTGTATTCATTTGTATTCATTTCCCATTGCTGCTAGCAAATTACCGCAAATGGTTTAAAACAAAACAATTTATTATCTTACAGTTTGGAGATCAGAAGTCCAAAATGAGATTTTTAAGGATAAAATCAAGGTGTCAGCAGAGATATATTCCTCCTGGATGCCTTTTTTTTTTTTTTACTTTAAATGGGGAAGGGGTTCTTCTAGAGACTTCCCGCATTTCTTGGCAGCCAGCAGTTGCATCACTTCATTGTCACATTTCCTTCTCTGTGACTTTCCTACCTCCCTCTTTCCATCGTAACACCCTTATGATTACATTGGACCTGCGTGGATAATCCAGGATAATCTCTCCATCTGAAGATCCTTGATTTAGTCACATTTGTAAAGTGCATTTTGCTATGTAAGGTAGCATTTGCAGGTTCAGGGATTAAGAGACATTTTTGGAAGGCTTATTGTTTTGTTCACTACAGTCATCAACTTTAGATGACGGTTTGCTGCACAGATCATCCCATCACCCAGGTATTAAGCCCAGTATCCATTAGATCTTCTTCCTGATTCTCTCCCTCCTCCCACCCTCCGACCTCCAACAGGCTCCAGTGTTTGTTGTTCCCCCTCCATGTGTGTATGTGTTCTCATCATTTAGCTCCCACTTATAAGTGAGAACATGCAGTATTTGGTTTTCTGTTCCTGTGTTAGTTTGCTAAAGATAATGGCCTCCAGCTCCATCCATGTCCCTGCAAAGGACATGATCTTATTCCTTTTTATGGCTTCATAGTATTCCATGGTGTATATGTACCACATTTTATCCAGTCTATCATTGATGGACAGTTAGGTTGATTCCATGTCTTTGCTATTGTGAATAGTGCTGCAATGAACATACATGTGCATATGTCTTTTTATTAATAATAGAACAATTTATATTCCTTTGAGTATATACCCAGTAATGGGATTGTGGGCTTGGATAGTATTTCTGCCTCTAGGTTTCTGGGGAATTGCCACACTATCTTCCACAATGGTTGAACTAATTTACACTCCCACCAATAGTGTAAAAGTGTTCCTTTTTCTCCACAATCTTGCCAGCATCTGTTTTTGTTTTTGTTTTTGTTTTGACATTTTAATAATAGCCATTCTGACTGGTGTGGGATGCTATCTCATTGTGGTTTTGATTTGCATTTCTCTAAGGATCAGTGATATTGAGCTTTTTTTCATGTTTGTTGGCTGCATGTATGTTTTATTTTGAGAAGTGTCTGGGCATGTTCTTTGCATACTTTTTAATTGGATTATTTGTTTGTTTCTTGTAAATTTGTTTATAGGCGTTGCATATTGGACCTTTGTCAGATGCATGGATTGCAAAACTTTTCTCCCATTCTGTAGGTTGTCTGTTTACTCTGTTGATAGTTTCTTTTTTGTGCAGAGCTCTTTAGTTTAATTAGATCCCATTTGCCAATTTTTGTTTTTGTTGCAATTGCTTTTGGTGTCTTCGTCATGAAATCTTTACCATGCCTATGTCCTGAATGGTATTGCCTAGGTTTTCTTCTAGGGTTTTCATAGTTTTGGGTTTTACATTTCAGTCTGTAATCCATCTTGAGTTGATTTCTGTGTATGGTGTAAGGAAGGGGTCCAGTTTTAATTTTCTGCATATTCTAGCCAGTTCTCCCAGCAACATTTATTAAATAGGGAATCCTTTCCCCCATTGCTTGTTTTTGTCAGGTTTGTCAAAGATCAAATGATCATAGGTGTGTGGTCTTATTTCTGGGTTCCTCTTTTCTGTTCCATTGGCCTATGTGTCTGTTCTTGTACCAGTACCATGCTGTTTTGGTTACTGTAGCCCTGTAGAATAGTTTGAAGTCAGGTAGCATGTTGCCGCCAGCTTTTTTCTTTCTGTTTAGATAAATCAAAAAATTTCTTTAAAGGACTGAAGATAAAGCAGAAATCAACCACACAGAAAACAAACAACAAAAAAAAACAGTTGGTTCCTTGAGAATATAAAATCTGACAAATTCAAGTGAAAATAAAAGAACAAATAAAATACATTAAGAATTTTTTGGAAAGAATACGATCATAAATATGGAGACATTTTTTTAAATTGAAAGAAAATATATATAAATATATATACAATTATAATACTTACTCTCATTCCCTTGTGTGACATGCTTCTAGCCAATAGAATATAGCAAATATGAATATAACACAATCGAATAGAAAAGAATAGAATAAGGAATAGATACAGAATAGAATAGATTACGGTCACTCTCATGATTACTTTACATTATATAAGACCACCTTAGGAGACAAGAGTGAGGGATTCTCCTGTTGGCTTTGAAGAAGCAAGCTGCCATGTTGTTAGAGGATCTTTGAGAGAACCTGCAAGGAGGCCATATGGCAAGGAACTTCAGGGCCTTTGGGAGGTAAGAGGAGGCCCGATGTGACAGCCCACAAGAAACAGATATCTCAATCCCACCACCATAAGGAACTTAATTTTGCCAATGACCAAGTAAGCCTGGAAGAGTACCCCTGAGCTCCAGAAATTAAGGCAGTTCAGTCAATCCTATGTAATCATTTCAATGGATTCCCAATATAGATTTGGTTAAATTCAACACCCATTACTAAAAATACATTTAGCTAACAGGGAATAGAAGAAAACTGCCTTTACTTTATAAAGGGTACAATTCAGAAAATTATGGCAAATATCGTATTGACCAGCTCACAAAGAACAAGAAAAGGAAATAAGAATTATAAATGTTATGTTATTTGTTCTTTTGCAAAATTAGCACTTCTGTCTGCCTTGAAAATTATAGAGAATCTGGCAAAGACTATTAGATCTAATAAATAAATTTAATAAGGTAGCTGAATAGCTAGCTATCCTACCCATCAGTTAGAAAACATAATGACCAAGGCCCAGGGCAATGGCTCACACCCGTAATCCCAGCACTTTTGGGAGCCTGGGGCAGGCAGATTACCTGAGGTCAGGAGATTGAGACCAGCCTGGCCAACATACTAAAACCCCGTCTCTACTATAAATACAAAAATTTTCCAGGCATGATGGTGCACATCGATAATCCCAGCTGCTCAGGAGGCTGAGGCACAAGAATAGCTTGAACCCAGGAGGCGGAGGTTGCAGTGAGCCGATATCAGGCCACTGTACTCCAGCCTGGGCAACAGAGCAAGACTTTGTCAAAAAAAAAAAAAAAAAAAAGAAAAGAAAAAGAAAGAAAATATAATGGTCAAAAAATTTCATGGATGATGACCACAAAAATTATTATGCATCTCGAAATAAACTTGAAATATGTGTAAAACTAAAACTTAGTAAACCACAAAAATTATGAAAGAACATAAAGAAACACACATGGCTAGACATACCAGGTTCCTTGATGCAAAGTCTGAATAGTGTAAAAATGTCAATTATTCAAAAAATTAATTAATTTGATACACTTTCAATTTCAATTAAAATTGTAATAGCGTTTTTAATGAAGCTCGATCACTGATAATAAAGTTCATCCAGAAAAGAAAATATGAAAGAATAGCCAATAGATTTTAGAAAAACAGCAATTAGGTAGGACTTACCCTATATCAGAATATGATATAAAACTTTATGGTATGGTATTGTTACAGGAATAGGCAAATAAATAGTGACAAGACAGATGTGATTATGTACAGGGCAACATTTAAAATCACTCTGTGATGTAAGGATATAATTCTTTCCCCATAAACAACTGAATTTCCAACATCATTTATCAGTTTGCTTTTTCCCCTTGCTCTCCATTCCCATTTATAACAATTCCCTGTCTTCTTTCTTCACTCCAGCTTTCCCTGCTGCATCAGTTTGCTTTCATACTGTATCTGTCCCTCCATGTCCTCATGAACTTGCTTTATATGGAAGTAAGGAACACCTCATCATAGCAGTTTTGGTTTGATTCCAATGAGATCTTTTTTTTCCATCCATAGCAATTTAATCAATACAACAGTTGTCCATCTTGGCCCCAGCTACAGAAGGTAGTCTTGATAATTTGGCACAGGGAAAAAAAAGTGAAAAGATGCAAAGAACAAGCAAATACTCAAGAAATCATTTTCATTTCAAAGATTATGAAAGATTATGAAAATAAAGAATATAGAACAGGGAATTCCAGAAGGACCCCAGAAAATATGTGAAAAGCAAGTTGTAACCAAAGCATTTTACCTTAACTGGTAAACCCAACTCAATAACTCCAGAGCTAGGGTCTGTGTTTGTTCTCTCCGTCTGTCTGGTCCTTTCTCCCTTTGTAACTGTCTCTGATTCTTTTCTTAGCAGCCATGGTGTAACATAATGATTACTAACCAGCTTGGCATCAGACAAACCTGCATCTGAATCTTGGTTCTATCACTTCCTGACTGCATAATTTTGTGGTAAGCTCCTTAAATTTTCTGGTATTCAGTTTCTTTATCTGTAAAATGGAAATATAACAATACTACTTATTTCATAGGGTTGTTGTGAGATATGATCCATTTGAAAGCATAAGTCTTGTCATACAGTAAACATTCAAAAACTATTAGCTATTATTCTTTTATATAACAAAATACTAATATAATAGGAAACATTTTAATAATTATAGTTTAGGTTTGATTGGCACTTTATGGCTTAGAAGTTAGTATCTTCAGATTCCTTATTCATTAACACATTATTGCAATACTCTGTAGTATTATACCCAACTATACATATTTAAGAGAACCATTTAGCTGCCTGAGGCTGTTTTTAAAATGGTGAAGGATACTCTGGGAAGTATATGAAGTGTCCTTGCTCATAGACTTTTTGGATTAGTTTCTTATTGTCAATCCATGACCTTGCAGGCACAGCTCTGCCTTTTTATTCTGGTAGTCCCACCTTTTGTTAGCTTCTGTCTCCATTGTCCCTAGGAATTGCACACAGCCACCCCTAAGCATCAGTGCACACAATCCTCTGCCGAGTTTCATTTCTGTTGGATGTGACACTGTTAGGTGAGGCAGGGAGGCAGGTGTGGTAGACAGAAGTCTATGACCCCCAATGACCCTAAACAGGGAACCCAGTTAAGCCTGCTTTGGACTTCTAACCTACAGAACCATAGAATAATAAATAGATATTGTTTTAAGCCTCTAAGTTTGTAGTGATTAGTTGTGAAGCAATAGAAAATGAATACAGCAAGAATAAAGTTGGGGATTAAGAGGGTGGTGGAATGAAGAGGGATGGGTAAAGAGACCGGGAGAATGGGATATAGCTATTATAGAAGTCATTGCAGGTCAGGTGGTGGTAGAGGTTTAAAATGATCGGAAAGAGTCTGGTTTTTATTTTCTCTGAGTGAAGGTCTCTTGAGTGGAAATTAGAGAGCCATAGGTCTCTCTTAGAAAGATGACTGACAGCTACATAAAGGATGTTTTAGAAGAGAAAGACCAGGTAAGGTGCTGTTATTCTCATCCATGTGGGAGGTTAAGTTTTTTGGTCCAATTTTCTTAGGGATATCTATTTAATAAGAGGTCTTTGTAGTGGCACTGCTTAGATATGACTTCCACTTGAGCTGGACAGATAGACAGCAACAGTAACCTAAATAGTGGGATTTGAGATTCAGAGGCTGAATAAGTATAGTCATCTATTTTTTCTCATTCCACTCTTGGTGTAGTTAATCCTTTTTAGAGCTTTTGATTCCATAGAAGCTCAGGATGTATGGATGCAATCTTGTTCACTTAGAGGTTCCCAACCCACAACCATGGGCACAGTAGCTCTTATATGTCCAGAGAAGGCTTCCAGAGAAGTCTCCAGAGAAGGCTAAAAATATGACGTCTGTCTACAGCTCTCAGCAGTGTGATCTAGTAAAAGAGTATGTGAAGTTCCCATTTTCATCAAAAAGATAATTCATGTACCTAGCTAGCTGCATTTTGATAAGTGGTCTTAATATATTTACTGTAAGAAATTATAAGTATTTATGCAAGTCAGAGAGAATCTTGTTATTTAGCAATGCAGCTTTGTTAGAAATCTAATGGTAGTCTTCTAAAAAATAACTTTTGATTATGAAAATTTCAAACACATTTAAATGTGTAGGGTTTAGTACAACAAATCTCCAGGTACTCTTCATCCAGTATCCATAATTACCAATTTATGGCAAATCTAATTTCTTCTATATACTTTCCCATTTTCTACCTCACTAGTCATTATTTTTAAAAAATCCTTCTTTTAGTGATACATCTTATTATTCTAAGTACATCTTACCAAAGACAAGGACTGCTCTTTTAAAACATAACCACAAAATAACATTAGTCTTGTTCAAAGAGCTGTGAATGAGAAAAAGGTACAGATTTTTGGATGGGTTCACACTCAGAAATTTTTTTCAAGTGTTTTCAATGAATCTGAGTAATAAAGTCATAATGTGATTGCTAAACACTCTATGTACAGGAAGCTCTTGAAACTATGTTTCACTCTACTCAGCACACTGCCTGTGGGCTTCCCTTTCACCAGTTTCTTACCCCTAAGAGGCCACATTGTTTGCTGCTCATCAGAAGAGTGACTCTGTGATCTTAGGATGCCACAACTTAACTCGCCCAGCTCATTTCTGTATCAATTCCTGCTAAAAGGTCATTTTTGTTTTAACTGGTTGGTTGAGTCAGATGATAAGTGAAATATGATTCATGTGTATAACAGCTTCCCATCCCTGCTCCTTTGCCAGCCCCTAACTCCACCCCTCAAATCAAAGTTCTGCTTAGCGCTCAAGATGTACAACTAATAGCTCTTCTTTGTATGTGAATGACTAGTTAATTTTCCATCTTCTAACTCAGAAACCAATAGAACAGACCAAAGATACATGGACTCATAAATAGTGGACACCTGGGGGAAAAGAGTTCTAGGCCAAGAGAACAGAAACTACAAAGGCTCTGAGGCAGAAGCGTGCTTGACATTGTACTCCTGTGTACTGGTGTTGTGCCTTCTATAACAGCTAAACAAGAAAACCCCCAAAAGGATCACAGGGCAGCAAAGCTACCAATGGTAGAGTTGTGTATCTGAGACTCAGAAAATATACTCCTTGATAATGTACAAGGGAAATAGGAGGAAATTTCAAGATAAGTCAAAGGTTTCTTATGTCATGGTAGCCCAGGGTACAAAAGTACAAGCTGATGTTAATTAACATCAAGAAATACTCCTAGAAAAGAAACATACCAAAACCTTGCCACACACAGAGGTGTTCAAGAATAAACGTATACTTGTAATGATAAAACTGGGCTCGCCTAATGATTTGGCGGGATTCATTTGTGAGACACATAAAAAATGTCACATGAATGTTATTAACAGGGTTCTGCCACATGCACACCCCTCTGCATTTATAGTAGTGAATCAGAACACTTGGAATCATGCATCATCCTACACTTCTGGATATTCCCATCCACTAGATTCTTATCAAAAAGCAAGACGAAAAGAGAAAAAGACCAAAGCTTCTTCCTCTATCTCACTTAAAACATGGCAGTAATAATTTGAGCTATGGAGTTGATCACTTTGAATTATAGGATGCTAGTTAGAACTTAGACATCATCTAGGATAATCAGCTCATTTTTCAATGAACAGCTGTCCACTGTCCGCACCCCCCTCCCTTTACTGCCCTATCCTCTTGCCACTGTCCTGCCCCCTCCCCTTCACCAGTTTCTGGTGCTGACTCTAGCATGCCTCCTGCTTGCTCCCAGCCAGCTCTCCCAGGATGAGTTCTGCTGCACAAGAAGACCAAAGCTTCGTACTTGTGCCTATTTGAATTCTACCATTTGGGGATATGCTTTGCTCTTTTGCTGAAACCAGGAGAAACTGAATGAACACTGCAGCAAAAAAGAGGGTCCGTTTGAAGGGTACAGAGACCTGATAAAGGAAGACCTGACCTTTTACAAGGGCAGCTCCAGGGATCTAAGCAGCAGAAGGGCTAAGATGCTACCATTCAAGCACTGAAGACCAGCTGACTTCTGCTGCTGGATTTTTTTCTACTCCAGATTTAAGTTATCAGACAAGAGGGATACCAATTGACCTGCCTTGGGTCAAGTGCCTATCCTTTGGTAGGGTTAGAGAATTCGGCATCCCTATCAGAACCACATGGAAGTGAGGGTGGTAGAGATAGACAGAAAAAAGATAGAAGATAGAAGAGAAAAACACTTCTGTCAACTCCTAAAATTAACTGCTCTGTTCTGGAATTTTGCATGTGTGTCACGAAGGCTTATTTTTGGACCTTCTTTCTGTCTTGGGACCCAGTTTTTAGATTCAACAATCTTGTGTGATTGGTCTTGATTTTGGTTCTGGACTATGCTTTGCAACCCTGCTTATCCCACAGTTTTAGGAAGAGCAAATATACTGCTACTCTGTTCGCACTGTTGTGGGTTACTCTTCAGCAAAGGCAGTCAAAGCACTCCCATCTCTTAGCTCCATAATGGACAAGCTGAGCAGAAACAGACTCAGCAGAGATAGGGGAAACTTTGCCTAAGATGCTACAGATGGTTAGAGGCAGGTTCAGGACTAGAACTCAGGTATACTGATTTCCCATCCAGTGCTCTTTCCTTCTGTAGTAATTATTTCCAGTCCAACATTTGAGAGCTAACCAGAAAAGGAGAATAGAGTTATTGCCAGAACATCAGCACATTCAGAAGAGTTTGAAAGCATGTGTCTTTTTGTGTGCAGGGATTGTGATTTGAACACATTAAAAATTAGAAATAGAATGTCAGCAGTTGTGTCCTGCTGGTATTGTAAAAAATCTTAAGAAGACAGATGGTAGTTTTGAAATAGAAGATTTAAAGAACTTTGTACTTTGCACTTTTCCACACATGTGACAGGTGGGAAAGGAAAAATGGCAGGAGGAAGACTGTCATGCATTCAGAGACAAGGTTCACACAGCCAGTTTTGGAGGTGAGCCAGATTACTGGACTGCAGCTCTATTATGAGGTGTTGCTTTCTCTATCACTTTGGGAGTGGGCGCTGTAGCTGCCGCCCACATTTACCATTGACTGCTCCACTACCTGCAACACACCCTATTTTGGAATCTCCTTCATTTGGGAACAGGGAGTGGCACAGGGAGGTCCCACATATGACCTCCCTGTTTTTAATAACCCCATCCCCAGGGAAAAAGAACAAGAAAGATTCCAACAGAAGATAAAGCAAAAAAAAAAAATTAGACAAAATTTACCTGTCTCTGTGGCTATGTCAGAGAGGACACACAAAGGGGAAGATCCAAGGATGTGTTTATATGATGGAGGAAAGAAGGGCTTGCTCCCTTGTTCATGAGAGAAAATAGTATCTGCAGCATTGTGTATGAGCACTCTAATTTGTGTTTATTATTTTTACATTTTCAGTCTTCCCAACTATATGTGGAGCAGTATCATTATCACTTGCCTCCACATATCTACAGCACTTCATATGGTGATTTGCAAACTGTATATGTTTAATTGTACTTAATTTGCAAACTGTAAATGCTTGTTTCTGAGAATAAAATACAAGTTTAAAATTTTTGTTGATTTTTAAAATCAATTGTATCTTAATGGAAGTTACTGAGTTACTCCTCAATTTCTGTTGCATTTCCACACATAATCCCTTAAGCCTTTTAGGTAAATCCTCAGTATTAATAAGAATATGATTTTAATCTGGATTACCATGAAGCAATTAGATTTGGCATGCAGTTTGTTGATAAAATAAGAGAACCATAAAACTAGAAGCAGCACAAGCTTTGACACTCAAGGGAGTATTTTCCAGGATAATTAATTGCCAATTTTATTTTAAATACCATTATTTACCAAAATTATAGTTATATTCAGTATATATCATAAATTCTATGTGAACATGTATGGTAAAATGAACATAGTTAATTGTGTAAATAACATAATAATACATATCTATATCTTAAGTATCTTTTTAAAACTGTACACCTAATGCTTTGATATTCTGAATTAGTTTTCTAGGGTTGCCGTAACAAAGTACCACAAACTGGGGGGTTTAAACAACAGAACTTTATTCTCTCATAGTTCTGGAGGCTGGGAGTTCAAGATCCAGCTGCCAGGATGGCATAGTTCTGGTGTGGGCCCTCTTATGAGTTGCTGACTGCAAATTCTCTTTGTGTCTTCCACTTTCCTGATAGAAAATCTTGACGTCTCTTGCGAAGAAAAAGACTTCTGTGCACATACAGATTACTGCATCCTGTGCTACTCTCAGTCCTGCAGCCTGACCCATTCTACTTCCTGAGGGACCTAGAACCAACTCAAGCATTTTCAACTTCCCCCCATGGTTCTCACTGGTTTTAGCTCTTTACAAACAATAAGCTTCTCAATCAGCTGTCTATTCTTTGACCTTTTATTCCACAATTTTTTCCCACCAGCATTTAAGTGTGGTCAAATCTCCTCCAGTGCTGTCTCCTCTACCTTCTACCCCGAATCTCTTCCCCTGTCAAAGTCAAACTTCTTGAAAGAATTAATTCTTATTTCCACTTCCCGCCTCCCATTTACTCCTCACCCCAGGGCAAGTAGCTTTTGATTTCTACCACTTTAAAGAAAGTACTGCAAAGCACAACATAAAGTTCAAACTGCTAAATCCAATAAACATTTTTTTTGGTCTTTTTCTTACTTATTACTCAGCAGTATTTGACAAAATTGGCCATGCCCTTCTTTTGAAATATTCTTTTTCCATATATCTCCCTGCTCGGTCCTTCTTTTTTTTTTTTTTTTTTTTTTTTTTTGGCAGCTGCCACTCCTCCATTCACCCCTTAAATACAGATTTCCTCCATGCTTTGTCCTAGGCTCTTGGCGCTCCTCACTCTGCACCCTCTCTCTGAGTAATCTCTTCCTGTTGCTGGCTTCAATTTCCATCTTATTTTGATGATTCCCAAATCTATCACTCCAGCCATCTGCTTTATAGAGATGTCTTCCCAGAAGTCCTACAGGCCTTTCAGACGTAATGTTCTGAATCTGAACTCATCATCTTCCCCCGACAAACCTGCTCTTTCTCCTGTGTCCCTTAGCTCAGTGGTGGCCATCACCTCCTCCCTAGGTGTCCAAGGCAGAAAACTGGCAGCATCCTCAACTCTTAATCCCTTCCCATTCCTGACTCTCATCTCCTTCCTGGATTTCACCCTCCTCACTGGCTTTCCTCCCTCTGCTGCCATACGGAGGCTGCAGTGGTGCTTTAAAGTAAGCCAACTTGCTCATCACCCTGATTAACCACCAAACAGATAAACCTTGCTTCTCAGTTCGTGCTTTCTCTGTAGCTTCCATATTTCATCACTCTCCCCTTGCATCTTTAGTCAATAAGTTTCCTCTTTTCCTAGCACCCATTGTGATTTTTCCTGTGTTGCTCCCTTTACTGGAATACTCTTTTCTCCATTATCCCTTAAAATGGCAAACTCCTACTCTCTCAGCTCTTCCCCTGGCGGTGAGACTTGGGGTAAGTTAACTTAGCTATGCTTCAGTTTCCTCTTAAGTAAAATAGGGATAATACTAATAATATTTGCTCCATGAATGTTACAAAAACCAAATGAAAAGAAAATATGCTTAGGACTTAAACTGAAACATACAAGGTACTCAATAAGTATTAGCTATTATTATTATTATTACTTATTGGACTCTGTTTATGTGTCACTTTATCCAGGACTCCTTGCCTGACTTGGAAAATCTCAGTGAGGAGACCCTCCTAACTACTTCCATGATCCAGTTCCTCTGCATTGTAATTGCTGCTTATTTGTCTGTCTGCTCCTCTCCCTACCACCTGCACATATTCCCTTCTCACCAAGGTACCCTGTAAGCCCTGTGGGAGAAGGAACCATAACTATCAGTTTTACTGTGGTATTCATATTCCTAGGAGAAGCTCGCAATTTTTTGTTGTCTGAATGAATATAGATGCAAAATTATTTCAATGTTTGATTGCTCTCTGTTTCTGCTAAGTCACCACTTTCTGAACCAGCTCTGAAGTGCTTGAACTCTTATCAAGCATGGGATTTGTGGCTATGTATAATCTTGCTAAGATTAGAAAGGACTATTAATGAGGTACAGCCTTTTTGACAGTACTGTCCAGTTTAGGTACATCATAACTCCAATTAGCCTTGGCAACACCCCAGCAACTAATAAACTGAATTCTGCATATCCTATTTGAGAGCAGAAGCTAATTAGACAAATTATGGTCTATCTGGTATTGGCATTTGTCTGGGAGACCCAGACTAACTGCAATAACCAATCACTGTCTTTGAAACGTAATGTAGGTCCCAGCTTGACTATTAGCAGCACTCACTTTAAATGGATACATACCCAGTGGTTTGCTGGCACATGTTTAATACCTGGCTCTCAGGGGAAAAGCCCTAATTTTAGTGTTTGCTCATTTTCATGGTGTAAACAGTCCTACCTTGACTGATGTCAATGTGACATTGCCAAATTCCTGAAATTTTACCAATAACTTTTTGCAAGCGGTGCAAGCAGGCTCCAGCACACTGCAGTCTAGATGGGTCGGTAGGGAGACTAGGTGAGCTTTACTTTCATGAATAAGAAATTCTCTTAAGAACATGAGAGTTAACTGTTCATAGTTGGAGAAAAATTTTGAAAGAAAGTAATGATTCTGAGAGTGGCCTGGATCAGAATATTGCCAGGCTTTCCCTTAACATATGTGCACCTTAATAACTAGGGCTCTCCTCCTGCAGGCCAGGCTGGCACTGTCCCCTCCGTCATGGGGGAAGGGTGTGGTGGGCAGATGTCCATGTGCTAATTCTTAAAGTCTATGGATAGATTATATTACCTGACAAAGGAGAATTAAGACTGCAGATGGAATTAATGTTGTAAATCAGCTAGCTTTAAAGTAGAGAGGTTATCCTGGATTATCCAGGGGACTCAACGTAATGAGAACCGTCCTTAAAAGTGGAAGAGAGAGGCGAAAAGGGAGAACAGATAAATGGCAGCATGAGAAGGATTTAGCCTAATGATCCTGGCTTTGAAGAAAGCGGGGGAATCTACAAGCAAAAAAGGGTGGATGACCTCTAGAAGCTGGCAGAGAGGCACAGAAACAGTGTCACTAGAGCCATCCTAAAGAAACTGAGCCTGGCTGACATCCTGATATTAGCCCAGTGAGACCCATGCTAGATTTCTAACCTACAGAACTGTAATATAATACATTTGTATTTGTCTTGTTTCAAGCCTCTGTACTTGAGATAATTTATGACAGGAAACTAATACCAAAAATCCTCTGTACTGGTTAAGTCCTTGCTTAACTTTGACTTTTTATCTAGTGGGCTCCAAATTATCGGCTCTTCAGCCTTAACTGTAATTCTGCCTCTGGTCCTTTGGTCTTAGTAATTGCATTTGATGTTGCTAGCATTTGAAATGTGGCTTTACCAAATAGATTATGCTTTGTCTACCTCCCTGCACTATCGCCCTTTTAGCAGATCCCCAGACAAGTCACCCTTCATTGTCATGAGGGAGAAGGGGGTTTAGCTGGGCAAAGCCTCAACACCGTTCCTTTCCTTTCCATTTCCATGGTCCTCACTGTATCCCATGTTCCCAGCACTTACATCCTGGACAATTTCTTTTTCTTTTATTTTTTTTTTAGAGACAAGGTCTCATTATGTTGCCCAGGCTGGAGTGCATTGGCTATTTATAGATGCAATCCCACAACTGATCATCATGGGAGTTTTTACCTGCTCCATTTCTGACCTGGGCTGGTTCACCCCACCTAGGCAACCTGGTGGTTCCCTGTTCCCGGGAGGTGACCATATTAATGCTGAACTTAGTGCAGACACCCAATCAGCGTAGCACACTACAGCCCAGAACCCCTGGGCTGAAGCCATCCTCCCACCTCAGTCTCTGAGTAGCTAGGACTATAGGCACGGACCATTGCGCCCGGCAATCCTGGACAATTTCAATGACCCTTCCTCCAACCCATTAAGAAGGTCAACCCTCCTAAAAAGAAAGAATAAATGTCACTTGTGCCTCCTGACTTAAGTACGAAGACTTTGGATTAGCATTTATAGCTTCCCATTATTTTGCCTCAACTTTTTCTGAAAGTATTTCTCCAAATTCTTCTACTGAAATTTATAATTTAATCTCAATGGTACCTACAGCTGTTTTGTATCTTCCTGCTTCTTAACTCATATCCACTCACTACCCATCATCCAACAAATATTTACTGAGTGGTTGCTGTTTTCTAATAGCTGTTCTGGGCATGGTAAAAGGCACAAAAAAAGATAAGACCCTCCAAATGGGCAAGATAATAGCTATGCTATTGCAGATCTCACAACCTAATGAAAGACACTGACATATGAACAAAAAATTTCAGTAAAATATGGCAACAGATGATAGCAACACAAGCCAGGTGCCCGAGAGCTCAGTGGAAGGAATAGTGTGGCTGTCTTCTTTGTGATTCCCTCCTCAACTTAGAAGCAGCTCTGAGTTAGAGGAAAGAGCACTGATCTTGGGAGATAAAAAGCTGGATTTTAGCCAATTAATTTCTGCAATTAATTTCTTGGCAAATTCAATAAATTGATAAGTTTCTATCCATGGAGTAAAAAAAAAAAGGGATGGATAATACTCATAGAATTTTATTAAGAGTGAGAATTAATAATGCTCTGTAATTGGAAAAGTACTATGTATATATGATTCCATGTTTACCTATGAAAAAGGTCAGAATATGCCACCCCAAAATATGCCACTTTGGCATAAGGATTATTTTGAGCTTAAGGCAATTAAAAGCAGAAAACACAGAAAAAGCTCTTTGCCCTCCCCCATCGGCTTAAAAGCAGGACATAAATTTGCCTTTATAAAGGTGCTCCCCTTTCCTTTCCCAAAAAAGAAAGAGATCAACCATTATCATTAGCGACAGAAAGTGTTAAAAGAAAAACTTCAGCTGAATTAAATTAAAAGGAGTTTAATTGAGTAATGAATGATTCACAGATTGGGCAGCCTCCAGAATCACAGCAGATTCAGAGAGACTCCAGAGGTGCCTTGTGGTCAGAACAAATTTATAGACAAAAAAGTAGAGAGACATACAGGAATCGAAAGTGAGGTACAGAAACAGCTGGATTGGTTACAGGTTGGCATTTGCCTTATTTGAACACAGTTTGAACACTCGGCAGTCTATGAGTGGTTGAAATATGGCTGCTAGGATTGGCCAAAACTCAGATATTGTTATAGGCACATACTCCTAAGTTAGGTTTTCAATCTTGTCTACCTATTAAGTTAGGTCACAGTTCATCCACAAGGGCTCAAATATAGAAGTACAGTCTTTCTCAGGACATATTTAGTTTGCTTTAACAAAAGTCAGCACCAAGATGAGTCTGTAGGAACAAACCTTACTAAAGCAACCCTTACTTTCCATTAGTTTCCCTTGCATATTACCATCCCACAATTTACTGTCTCTTGAAGCTCAAACCTATTTTCCTTTGCCTTGTCACTTTCCCGTAATTTATCACCCTCTGTTAAAATGGTACGTGAGTCCTTGGGTCAAACTGCTTCATTGGTTCTTCCATTCTTTTCTATGAAGGCCTCTGTGCACATAAAAATTAGAATATTAACACAAAAATTTTTGTATGTCTTTTCTTCTGTTAATCTGTATTTTGCCCATTCAATTCAAAGGCCCCAGTGAAAACATGAGAGAATAGAAGAAATATTTCTTTCCTCCTCTACACTTATTTAACCAAAACATATGATTTATGACCCAGATTATATACTATTTATTCTTTCCTTCCTACACGTTTATAGTGCTATTTTTTTGGTGCTCATCATAAAGGAACTGTTTTTCCATCTAAAAATTATGTGTGGTGAAATATAATCAACCTATGGAAAAATGCATAAAACACAAATATGCAACCTAATAAACTACTGTAATAGGAACAACCCTGAACCCTTTCTAGAGTCAAAAACATAACAACAACCTTAGGAGAACCCTATGTATACTTTATATAAGCACTTTTCACATGCTGTTTTATCTGCCTTATTAAATTGCAAGGATTTTGAAGACGGGCATATTAGCCAAGATTCTTATGTTGGAAATTATAAAACCCAAATTAACCAAACTTAAACAGAAAATGAGAAATTTATTGCAAACAAAATTAAATGCTGGGAAGTATGCAGTGGAGCTGGACTTAGGATAACCTAGGATGCAAGCACTATCACTTCCTCCCTGTCACTTCCTCTTTTCTCCTTGCTTTCCATCCTCCCTGATCTCTCTGCCTGATATCCTCACTGTCACAAAATGGTTCCCCTGGAGACTCATAACCTGTAGTCCTCAGACCAGAAAAGAGATTCTCTTTATTCAGCTTGAGTTTAGAAGTAAAACATCCTGGGAAAGGTCTACTGTCTGACCTGAGGTCCATGCCCCAATCTGTTATCAGAAGGAGGATGAGGTCAGAGAGAGATGCTGGCAACAGAAAACAACAGCTATGACAGAGGCACCATTTCTTGTTCAATACCTCAAATGATCATTACATTCTTCACAGAGGAGGCAATCCTATCATTAATATTGCAAGGGTCTCAGCAGGAACTTCAACTGGGCCTCCTCTGGTATTCAGGCATGTTTGGGTTTGTCAGGAAGACTGCTGAGTGTGGTTCTCTGTGTGCCAGGGATCAATTCCTGTGACGGGCTTAAGAGACTTCAGGGAAAAGAATATCACCCTAAGTGAAGTCAGAGACAAGGAGCATCTTTAGTGTAAGGACATCAAAGGACTGGTGACTTCTGAGGACAGAATATGTTTGTTACTCAGATTGTCCCCTAAGCTACCTCTCTGAGACTGAGGTCTATGCGTAGAAAAGAGTTTCTAACAGTTGAGGTCAGATAATTCATTGTTGCAGGGGCTGTTCCGTACATTGTAGGATGTTTAGCAGCTTCCCTGGATTGACCCTCTAGATACCAATAGCATTCTTATTTTCTAGGCATGCAAAACAGTAATGACTTCAGACATTATGTCCCCTGAGGGACAAAATCACCTTTTCTTGAGAACCACTGGCCTAGAAGGAAGAAGCTATAAAAAGGAGGAAAAGAAGTAAATAAAAACGGAAAGAGCTGCTGTCCAAGGCAGCCATGTAGTCTCACTCGCAATATCTACAAAGGGCCATTTCTTGTCCTAGCAAGGATGCGTAGGGTGAGTTAACAGAGCTCATAGGTAAAATACCTTTGAGAGAACTTGAAATAAAATTTGGGGAATTCAGGGATGCTAGTTTCTGTTAATCAGACAGACTAAAGCTGGAGAAATATTTTTGTGTTATTTTTGACAGTTCTTATGACATATTTTTACCTTCAGGCTGATATGGCTTGGGAAACATTAGTTAAATTTGAATGAATGGATGATTTTAGTGAATGAGGTTAACAATTTTTTTTCTTAATGGCATGCTTCAATTCACACATTACTACTGTGGGGTTAGAATTTTAGAAGTGTCAGGTACATTAATCTACATTATACTACTGTAAAATAGTGATGAACTTTCTGTGAAAATTGATCCCACACAAAGTTCTAAGATTAGAAACTAAAAATTTGATGTATCACCAAGTGTTCAATTTAAATTCCATGATAAGTGGCCTAAACATGAAAGAAAATTTTCAAAATAGGCTACTGTGAGACATCTTCACATTCAGTGGGTTACTCATCAGTTTTTAAAAGAGAATTTATATCTTTAAAACTTGCATTAATTTGTTTTAAAATACCAATTCTGATTCCACTGGAAATGTGTTTTGAAGCAGTAATGGGGCAGGAGAGGATATAGTAAAAGAAAATATTAAAAGGAAGTAATAAAATTCCTCAATTAAGTCTACTTTTAAAAGATGGAGAAAATGAAGAGCCATCTCTCCGCCTGTGCAGTATAGCATCCCTTTCCCTTATGGAGGTAAGAGAACTTCACTCTTCCTTGGGGGAAGTCCTCCTTCCCCATTTCACATACCCTGTCCTCCCCACCTCTCTTCTCCCTGTCTCAGCACAGTGAGAGATTCATGACCTAGACTTGACCAATTAGATTCTCCTGGGAATTTGAATCTTGGATGGAGTGGAGTTATTTGGGTTCCTGGCTTTACAAAAAGCTTGCATATTCAGGTTTTCCCTCCCAGTCCCTCAATTCTATGAGCCACCAGTATCCTTCCAATTAAGTATCTTCTTCACTTTATTTCCAGTAATGAGGTTATCAATAATCAATTTCAGTTGCTTAAAACAGAAGCAAAAACCTGTAACTAACACAAGGAACTCTGATTTAAAAGTATTGTGACTCATTTGTCACTATGATTAAAGAGAACGGGAAAGGGTCAGGAAAGAATATGGAATTAGAACTGAAAGGTAGATTTCTTGAGTCTATGCTGACCAAACGTTGAAATGTGTTGATATGAAATATGTATTCATATGTGTTTCATTTGTTTGTTTTTGAATCTTCTACTTCTACCAGGTTTATATATGGGTGAAGTTATGTAGTTTCCAATTTTGCTTGATTAATTTTAGGATTCCCACAATATTTAAGCAATTTTTTTTCTGACTGTGATGCTTATTATTTTCCAATAATGCAATTAAAAGTGTTATAATAGCCACTTTTATAAATTGATTCTAAAAAGTAATGCTTTTAATTTACTAATGTATTTTAATATAAATATTATTCATGCTCATCATAAAAATAATAAACAGTACAGAAAGGTAGAAAATGAAAAATAAAAGAGCCACATCATCCCCCTTTTCAGAGAAAATCAAGTTGCTTACTTAAGATATTTCTAGCTATAACTGATATGCCTTTGGTTCCTGGTGTTTTCTCGTACTTGGGCTCTTGCCCATTCAACTAAGTAGGCATTTTATAAAACTTGCCTCAGTGGAGGGATAACATTAGAGACCACAGGTTAAGAAAACCAATCAACCAACCGAATTTGCTTCTTGATGTAATGAGTTTCAAAAGGCCAGTCCTCAGTGGAAAGGCAGGGTCTATTTACACAGGAACAGAAAGAGTTTCAGGGAAAAAAACCCGATGAGGAAGAGTGAATCTTGCTAACTGGGAGGACTGGATAGGCTTCCCTGGGCTGGGATGATGGGAAGATCATGACTACTCAGTAAGGGAACATGGTCAGGGAAAGGGACCTGGTCAAGGAAAATCCTTGGAGAGCAGAGTTGGCATCACAGACACCATCCTCTAACACTATGAGCACTGCTGGTCACCTCCAGGACCTGTTGGCACTGAGTCTTCATTCAACTAAGACCTATACAACTGTTAGTTTTCCTTTCCATGGCATTCCACCTTCCAAAATCCAGGAGGAGAGAATATGTGCCCTAAGAGGGGCCTATCCTGACCTTTTGATGGCCTAGGACATGTGTGAGTTCCCCAGGTTAGAGAGTGACACACAGCATCGATGGTACTGAGGTGACATGGAAGGTCCAGCACCTTGATGTGTATGGCACTGAACAGAGCCAGCTTCAGATTCACCCCTCTCCTCCTGAGCCAGTAAAATGGAAAAACACACACAATTACACACACACACACACACATCTCCCTCCTTCTCTTCCTCTACTTTTACACAAACTGCATCACATTATACCTATTGATCTTCCACTTGCATTTTTCACTTAGTGATATAGCTTTGATATCAGTCTGCAAGGATCTAATCTGTTTTTTAAATGGCTACTTGGTATCTTCATAATTTGACTGGTCCCCAACTGATGGACCTTTAGTTCTCTCTGTCCCTGTCTCTCTTCTCCCTTCTCCCTCCCCTTTTCTCTCTCAAATATTACCAAGCTATCATGAGTATCCTTTCACATAAGTCTTTGAACTTTTGTTTGAGGTAACCCTAGGATGAATTCTTAGAATTGGAATTACTGGACCAAAAAGTATGAGCTTTTAAGAAAAAAATAATGAATGTAAATATTGACAAGTTGTTTTCCAAAATATTTTTTTGACTTGGATTCTCATAAGCTCTTCTTTACCCATATTCTCTGTAGCACTAGGTATTGTAATCTTTTTATAATCTTTGCCAATCTGATACATGAAAATTACAATTTATTTTTAAATCTGCCTTATCTTAATGATGACTAAGAATCCTCTTTATATTTTGTTGAACCTATTTAATTATGTAATTACGATATTCTTTCTTACAGTTAGGGGCTATTTTCTATTCAGCACTGTAAATTTTTACAAAGCTCCCATCATGTGACTAGTTGATTATGTTGAATTAGACTGAAAACAACAACAGCATTTGATATCACAGAATGTGGCAGAGAAAATGTAAACATGAAATAGTTTAACAGTAAAAAGTTTCCTGTGGCACTAGTTTTGAGTTACACTGGCGCTGGCTCCTGATGAATAGGATGAATTAGCTACAAAATGTACCCATAGGTAATTGAGTAAAGCTAAGTGTTAGCTAGAGTTGTTTTGTGTTATCCACTTGAAAACTAGAGAACATCAGCCAAAAATCAATTTTGGTTTTGGCATAATTAATGCTGCTCTGTTCTCTTGAGTAGTACAGTAATTAGAAATATGGCTCAGTGATTCCTTAATGTCACTACTGGTTTGTGACAGAAAACCACGACACTGGCATTAAGAATGACAATTTCCTCCTTACTTGCTTCGGGAGGAGGCAGCTATCAGGAATTGAACAAAGAACTATGACATAGCTCTCTTTCATGATGTAGTTTTAGCTAGAAATCTGATCTGTGTAGAGACAGTTTCAAATCTGATTCTTCCAGAGCTGTTAGAATACAGACTTTATAAAAACTCACAGCACTAGATTTATGCTACCCTCCTATATCTTGGCTCATGGACAAGCTGATGATAGATGAAAAAAATGCTGCAGAAACTTGTGTTCCAAGATGCTTATCAAAGTATATTAAGAGGCAAGCTGAGAAAAACAAAAAAGTGTTACCTACTCAACCAAACTCTAGGATACTTGTTTAAGAAAGTGAAAGAGGTTTCTTTCGTGTAAGACCTCAGTCTTTAATATACCAATGTGACATGAACCTAGTTTTCAGTGTTTCCCCAACTCATTTGACCTGGCACCCAATTTCCTATAGTGAATATATGCTATTTTCCAGCCACCCAGTGTCCACTTTTCTTTTTATATCTAGTGGGGCTATGAGCAGGGGTCCCACACTACCACAACTGAGGGACAGGCCAATGCTCCAGGCTAAAACAACTGGAAGCTGCAGACTACAACTGGGAGTACAAAGAGCAATCAATTGGGACTCACCCATTTCAGCAATGGAAGACACCATCTCATAACATTCCTGTCCTGATATTATCCTGTTGTCACTGCTTCTGTGCCCTCTGGAGTTCTCCTGCTGGCTTTCTATCCTGGGTATCTAGCTAGGCTTCCCATCAATTCTTAGAGCTCCTGATATCCTTCTACTAAGTTCCTTCTTGCCTAAATTAGGCAGAGAGTTTTCAGTTGCAACCAAAGACTCACACTTTAAAAAAAAAAAATCTTCTTCAGCTCATCCCTCATAACATCACTAGATTGAAACAGGAACAATGTATATTTATTGACAACTAAAAGACCTACATGGATTATACCACCTAACACATTCTAGGAGCTCAAAAAATTGCTGAACAAATAATAAGTATTCCAAAAAACAGCTTTTGGGAAGTATTATTTTAAGTCATTTTCTTAATAAGGAGAAAGACTATATATAATGGTACCTAAGAGAGAAATGGTGCCTAACACCTAGTTGCTCCTCTAGGAGTGGAGTAAACTGCAACATATGTTTGTGTTGAATTTTGGTGGCTATTGAATAAACTAATGTCTCTTATTTTAGAGAAATAAAATACTTAAGACAAAATATAAACTTTAAATCAATACTAAGGAGCCATTTAGGAAAATCTTGCCCTCTCTGAACTAGACATTTTACTAGGCATTTACCATTTAAACCTCAACGCCATGTGTCAATGAACAATATTTAGTGAGCCGATACTATGTGGCAGACATTGTGCTAGGGCCAGGAGATACCCTGAGACACTCAGCTTGGGCAGTAAGAGACTCTTCCATAGTCACACAGATGGTGAGTTGGTGGTGTAAATATTCTTTTCCTGTGTAAATGCAATTATAGTCTTTGCTCTATTTAATTATACTAAATAAATAGCTGCTATTTATTCTAAACAGATAATCCAATCAATATAGATGGGCTTAAAATTTTAAGTATTCTCACTTTAGTGACAAACACCTTGGGGATCTTAAAGGACTGTTTTATTTATTGATACCAGTCACTGTCAATATTTTTGGTTCAAAGACGCTTTCATATTCGATTTTCTGATAGAAGACAACGCAATGAAAACTATCAAGTTGCTTATGAAAAATTCTTAGGATGACACTGCACCTAATGTTTGTAGTCAGTTGTTTGTCATTCTTTCCCTTGTCCTATGCTGTGTCCAGGACTGCTAGATAAGTAGGTACCCAGCATCCTAGCGTCCAGATATCAAAACCATGAAAATGAAGCACTACAAGCCAGACAGATAACCTCCAGAGGGAGCAAACGAATAAACCCCCAAATCCTGTGGATCTAGAAGTAGAAAATAATCGCTGAACCACTGATTTGAGACCAATGAGAACATTAAGGACACCTCAAAATAGATCAGGGCACTGTTCCTAGCCCAACTCTGTGGCAGAACATAAACCTGCAAGAAATAGGATTAACATACTATCTTTGCAGTAAGTTAAATCCTGAACTTCTACAAAATACAGTTTACTCCAATTTAGTTACACTCTTCCTGCTTCTGGTGTCTTACCTCCACGTTGGACTAAGGTTTTCAATTCGGTGGTGGAATACTTACCTATTAAAATTACCCACTTTGCTTTAGTGTGAGTTTCTCAGCATGTTTTACACAGGAGTGACCTGAATGACTCGGAAGTGGCACTTGAGTGTGCCAGGCCCTGGAATTTAATGGTATGGTTCTGTGGTTGTTGTCTGTTTGCGGTTTTATTGCTGAATTAGTAGTAACCACAGTAATCACACCCTTTCTCATTTCTCAGGCTTGGGGATTTCGTCCACCTCTGGCGGGTTGGTTCCCCTGACGTTTCTTAAAGTTACTGTGAATTTGTTCTGGTCAGTACCATAGAGTGTATTATCCTAAGGAGGGCCACTGTAGGGCCGCTAGGACTAGAGGCAACTTGAACTTCACAAGTTAGCAGAGCAAGGACTCCCTGGAACACCGAGTTAGGGCCACGGGGTCTGTTTGCTCAGATTGCCCGCCAGCCCTGGGAAAGGAGTCTGGGGGCGAGCAGGCTGGGTTCCCGGGTCTCAGTCGCCGCAGTGGTGGCTACAGACTGCGCATGTGACCCAGGGGCCGGCGACGCAGGTGCCGGAGAGCGAGGAGGAGGGCGGCGTGGAGGAGGGTACTTCCGGGACCGGCGGGCGCGCGCTGGCAGCTCGCCGACGGCGGGGGCGGGGGCGGGGGGCGGCAGGGGAGCGAGCGCGCTGGCGGCGGGCGGTGGCGTTGCGCGCGGGGTGGCGAAAGGATGTGCGCGGGATCGCGGGGGAGGGGGAGGGAGCGCGCGGGCTAGCTGGAGGCGGGAGGGGGCGGAGCCCTGTGGCGTCTGAACCCGCCCCGGGGGTGCCAAGGTGCGTCTCCAGTCTGACGCGACCGCCTGGGGCGGAGTCAGCGGGACGTGCCACCTGCAGTGCTGGCTAGGGCTTTTTATTTACTAGGGAGCAGTTTCCCCGCGCGACAGTTCGGGAGCGCGCAGGCAGTCGCGCGCACACACGCACGCAGGCACACACACACACACACACACACACACACACACACTTTCGCACACACAAACACGCTAGGACGCTCGTCTTCGCTACTGCATCCCCGAACCAGCAGAGCGAAGCTACTGCGGGTTCTGTTAACCTCAGCATCGTGGGGCGAAGCAGAGCCATTGTGCATCAAGGAGAGGCCGGTGCCTGCGCTGCCGTCTCTGGCACCTAACCCAGCAGACCGCTCACCCCATCGGGTAAGCCAGTCTCTCTCCTTGTAACCTGTTCTGCAGACCTGAGGAAGAGGGTGGGAGGCTGCTGGTGCGCCAAGTGGGGGCAGACCCGGAGTTGACATTTCAGGGGCTTGCAGCCCATGCAGCCTCTGCCCGTGTCGTCTAACGGGAGCAGCCACTACTCAGGTTACTTATGCTGCCAGCCCTGGAGTCGCTCCCCCTTTCTTCCCTCCCCCTGAGCCCAATATGTACTGTGCTCCTTGGTTGCCAAGGAGACTTGCTTAAACATCAGCCGTGGGACATCTATTGAAAGAACTGGTTTCTTAAATGATGCCGTTATTTATTTTGATATTTAAAATAAAATATACACTGAGGACCTTTCGTAATTTGGCATTTGTTAATCTGTATTCAGGTGGCGGTTTCATTCAACTTCAAGAAAAGCCGTAATTGCACTATATGGTATGCTTTAAAAAGGATTCGTCAGATGAATTTTTCAACGGATTGTGTCTTGAATCATAATTTACTCCCATTTTGGTGATCTTATAAAGAAAGATGACTGCAGTTTAGATCCCTTCTTCCCCTCTATTTCCAGTTTTATTTTGCAGTTCACTTAGTCGTGATTATTTTAAATTAAAAGCAGATGATTTAATTGTGTTTCCCCACACAAGAATGAGCTTCTATTGTAAATTGACCAGAACAGGAATACGTTTGTGAATTCGTAACGTAAGAAGGTAGCATTCATGACATACATCTTTGCTAGCATTTTTATATCCCCTGCATCAGTATTGAAGCGCAGTTTTTTGCACCTCTGCTCATTTCTGAGAAGATTCTGTTTTTTAAAAAATCTCTTATTGATTATTTTTAGATCTATCTCTATACACAGATAGAGATAGATATAAAATGTGTGCCATGGCTTACTAGAGCTTATATGAAAGTGCAGTGGTTTTTGCTTTTTGTTTTTTTTCTGATGGGACTGGGTCCTCTACTGGAACACTGATAGGCCAATGGAACAGGTCAGCCTAATACCTGGGCTGTCAGTTTTGTTTTATTTTGAGGTCTCGGGTGTCTATTGGGTGAACTTGTAACACAGTACTTGAAGGCATCAGCAATCCAGTAATTACACTTTGCACGAATTTCATGCCTCCATCACAAACAAATGGCCCAGTAAAGATCCACTGGCATTCAAGAATTAATTTTGTTTTCCTTGGATATTTGTTCATCTTTTCTACTTCTTGTTAAATGACCCAAGGAAATAAGTCAAATTCTTCTAATTTAGATTTTAAACTCTGTCATAGAGAGTGTAATAAATAATGTGAGGAGCAAGTAAGCCAAATAATGACAGAGGTAGATAGAGGGGATTTATGCAATTCACAGAGCTTTGGGAGATGAATGATGACAAACATTTTACATTACAGTGTAGAAAGCACTTTTCATATACTTCTTTTTTAATCCTCACAACAACCCTTTGAGGCCAATAAATTACCTTCCATTTAAAGCTGAGGAACCCAAGACTCAAACCTTGCTGAAGGTCACAGCTAGTGAATGGGGAAGCCCTTTCTGGATCCAGTCTCCTTGCCTTTAAAAAAAAGTTGTGTGTGCGTTTCAGATGTGTGCAGGGATCTGACAAGTGAGATAAAGGAGTGGAGCAGGCCTAGACAAGACACGTGGGAGAGAGGGTAGGGAGTGGAGTGTGAACTGTGGCCTCTGGAACTTGCAAACCACTGTAAAGGAGGCAGCTCCCACTCCACTGTAGCCGATTGTTACTGTCCAGGCTCTAAAACATGACAGTTTTTTAAGGAAAACAGAAGCTTCTGGATTTTTTTTATGAGGTATCCTTAATTTTAAAAACTGTAAGGACCACATTAAAAATTGTATCTGGGTCATATCTAGCCTGTGGCCTGCTAGTTAGCAACCCATAATTACTGATGTCTCACTCAATTATAAGTTAGTATTCTCTAACAAAATACTGATGTGAAAAAATACATCCATCATTGTGAGTGATCAGTTTTTTATTTCAATATTAAAGTCTAATAAATGCTCTACCTTTGTTTTTCAATAAACAGGTTCAAAAATTTTTTGAGGTTTTCTAGATCTCTGTCTTATATCTCAGAAAATAAAAGACCATGAAGTGCTCTAAAATAGGAATTTTTGAATCTGGTGAAACAAAAGCATATATAGTTTAGAACTTATGTTCCTGGCTTAATGTTTTTTTTCTTGCCATAAGGCCAAGAAGTGGAGAAAAACTCAGTTGAGTGCTTGTTATAGGAAGACGTAGGATTGGTCAGCAAATGGAGCATCCTGAGCCTTTAATGAAAATGTCTGATTAAAGTGTTAGATAATTAGGTAAAACCCACCACTGAATACTGCAAGATGCCAAAGGAATGAAAACATAAGTGGGAACTCAGAGACATTAAATCCCAGCACCCTGGTATACAAAATGTTTACTCCTTTAATAACTATCTTGTAGTGAGGTAAATACGTCTTGAGAAGCTGCCATTTTCTCGTGTTTCTCCTAGAGCTACAGAGATGCTAGTGGACTTCACTGAAGTAGGTAAGTAGTCAGAGAGGAGTGTCATTTTATTTACATTGTCTCTTTGGTGGATCCAGAGAGGTGTAGTTAAAAGGAAAAGCCAAAAGATTTGAACAGCGACTTCTCATGGTTCTCTTATTCCAAAATCCCCCTCTGGAAAGATGCCTTAACAGTAAATAAAGCCATTTCAGTTTTCCTTTCATGGAAATATGTTGCACCTCTAGTAAGGAGCTATGCAGGTGTGTGTTAGTAATGTTCTAACAAAGTCCTGGCTGAGTGCATGGAGATACCGTCTCTGCCCTCAATGATTCAGAGCAAACACACTGCTCCTGGCAGCGTCCACTTTTCGAGCTCTTCTGTGAGCAAGCTACTTCCATATCGGCTTCACAATGACTCTATAAAGTGGGCATCTTATTTCCATTTTACAGATGGAGGATCTAAGACTGTGAAGTCCAATTGGAGCAATGAAAGAAATCTTGCAACTTCAGCTGCTCTTCTCTTTTCACATTCCTTCTTCTCAACTGTTACCTAATGCAGGTTATAGACATGTACATAATTGTGATTTTGAGGGAGTTATGTGTTAAATGTTACAATGGAAATATAAGATTCCATAGAAGCTCAGACACAGGGAAAAAATTTTAAATGTTCTGATTGTGGAGATCAGGTCAGTCCCTAGGTAGTAGGGGGATTAGTGCTGGAACTTGATGGCTGGGTATGATTATATTAAATGAAAATCCTTATAGCTATTGAAAGATGGGAGTCTCCACCAGACAGTCTGTTGGAAATGTGGGTTAAGAGGATGATGCTAGTGATACCTAATATTGATGAGCTTACTGTAGCTGAGCGAGTGATGAAAGCTGTGGAAGAACTATGGTCTGGAAGATGGAGTGCAGCAGAGGATGCAACTGCGGATGGGTGGGAGGGGATGGAGGAAGACAAATTTGGGAAGGAGACTAGGAGAGGAGTTGTAGCCATAGAGGAGAATCTGGAGAATGTAGTACTGATTCTTCTAAAGACTGAACATAAAGTCAAGGGACAAACCAAGTATTATATTCTCTATACAGAGACTGGCACACAATAAATACCCATAAACCATGATGATGTGTCTACATTTTTAATGTCTGATGGCTGGTATATAATTTCCTCTCATGATATCACTTTTCTATAGAAAAAGCATACACGTTTTATATGAATTCATTTGGAGTGGGTAAATATATGGATTTTCAAAAATGGGAAAAGATTCTGGCAAATTAGATGATAAAAGATGTAATCGTTTTTTTCTAGTAGAGTCATAGACTTGGAGGCTAAGGAGGCTCTTACAGATACAGATTTTAAGGTTGCATATACTTTTGATGAAGTCTTATATGTTTGGGACAAGTAAAGGAAAAATGTGGGCTGTAAACCATTTGAAAAGCTGTACTCAAATCTAGACAGAAGGCTTTGGTGACAGATAAATGTACTATAATCTTGATCCTGGTTGGGTCAATGTTTTTATTTATTACATCAGTAGAGATATGAAAGAAATGTGACAAGCAAGTGGGAGTTAGACTTGCATTTAACTACTAGATCTTCAGTGACTGGGTGGGAGAGCTACCTGTTAGAATGTTCAGCACAAGGTAACAGGATGAAATAAAATAGAAGGCGTCATAGCTAGAGTCTAGCACTGGGGATATTTGTCATGACAGGAATTTACTTTAAAGTTGGAGGGATTTTAATTCCTATCAAGTACAATATAAGCCAATATGATGATTTGCTCTTCACAGATATATTTGGCAAGTAATGGAAAATATTATGAAAAAATGATACTGTAAGGAGCCCATCTTTCTTAATAAGCAAGGGGCTTTTTGGTGACAGCAGAGATAGATGTGGCTATGTCTCTGTGCCAGGCAGTGTCTTACTTCCCTTCTCTGCCTATAAGACTGCTTATTATTTCAGAATTGTTTTCCAATTTGTAGAGCAGAACTTAAGAATTTATCCTAGAACATTTTACTTTCTCTGTTGTTGAGAATTAGTAAATAGAATTCATTTTGTTCACCTTTTTCCTGGCATTTCTAATCAGAACCTTCATTCCCAGGCCCTTCTTGTCAAGATCTTTACCTAAGAGGAGCTGAGCAATGTGAAATGCTCAACTTTCTTCATATTTCTTTTGTTCTTTCCCTATTTCGTATACACATTGCAATGCATTAATGTATTTAATTTAACTTGATTTTGACATATGGCACTATAAGTTTTGGTGAGATTTTTAAACGAACTATGTAGGAAAAAAAACAGTTTTGCAGACTTGACTTGGAGTCAGATTAGTTCCACATATGGCAGAAAGCATTGAAAGCTGTAAATTTGTCTAAAATAGCTTCTTCCCTTGCAAGGTTGGAGTCACCAACCTGATAAGATAATTTTTAAATGAAGAAGAAATGTCTTTGGCAGTTTTCATGGACTCTTGACAACATTTTCCTACATGTTTATTTGAGGCATAATGTATTCTACTTTCCATGCCAGATAAGCCAGTACCAGTTACTTAGAAGCAGGCTACCCCCTCCCTTCCCCACCCAGATGATACAACCCGTTTGTTATACAAGATATTGATGGAAAAAGAAGTCCCATCCTAGCTGATTGCTTCAGTGAGAACATATTTGATGCTAATGGCACAGACAATAGAGCAGTGGAGGAGGCATTTTGCAATTTTTTATGACACAAATTCTGATACCTCATTTAAAATCATTACTTAGAAACCTTATTATTTATGATTTTTAGTTCTACAATTGAAAGTGCAAGGTAGCATGGCACAACCAGAAGAACCTGAGCCTTGGAGCCTGGATTTGAATACTAAATCTGATACTTCTTGGTTCTGTGACTCACAGTCCAGTTACATATCCCCTCTAACTCTCATTTTCCTCATCTGTAAAATGGGAATTATGTTACCTAGATTATGGAGTTGTTTTAAGATTAAATAAGAAATGCATAGAAACATCTAGTACATTGTTGGTGTGTAATAAAATCTCAGTACTTATTAATTCCTTCCCTCTGCCTCCCCTTTCCCCACTCCTTTGCCTTCCTCAAAATGATGGTGGAATTCATTTAAATTTCCTGAGCCATATAAAATGTTTTAATCTGGTGTGCCGACCTTGGAGCAGAGCTACCCTCATTATGCTATGGAGCTTTTAGTGATGCAGTACGCTGCTTAGATGGGCTCTCCCAGGGAGAGGGATGCATAGCTTGGACTCAATGATGTCTTTTCTCTCTGACAAGCCACTGTTCCCTCTTTTATGCAGCTCCTGGAGCATCGGCCTGGTCACAAGGAAAAGGAGGGAGGGTCAGTCAGTTTCCTCCTACCCAGGCAGCTCTCTGGGCTCTATCATAGGATCTCTTCAGGGGTCCACATCTGCAAAAAGCACAGAGCTGCCCCTTGTGTTCTCTGTAGAATTAATAGTGGCAGCATCAAGTACCTGGCGGGTACAGACCTCCTAGCCTTTCTGCAAGGTCAATTTCTAGAGCCCACATCTTTCTTGACAACTAGAAGTTTCCCTTCATGCTGAATTATGTAAATTTTATGAAAAGGTCAAAAGCTCACCAGGATAAAAAACAAACAAACAAACAAAAAACACTCCTCAAATTCTCTTTCAAGTCAGATAGGATTAAAATCTTCCCGAACAGAATACTTTCTAGTTAAATCTATGTTTTTTTCTTTTTCTCTGCACCACGACCTCACTCATTCCCTGTTCCCACCAGCAACTCCTTCTTCTGTGTTGAAATATCATGTGGATTTCTGATGACCCAGGAGTGCACATGAGATTAGTATGGCCTGACTCTTTTCAAAGTCACCCCCCGGCTCATGGGCTTAAGAAGAACCTAGACAGCAGCAGGAACTGCTAGCAGCCTACCACATAGGAAGTTAGCCTGAGCAGTATATTGTAGGATCCCATAGACTGAGCTAAGCTTTGTTTTCATCATACAATGGATTATAAAGCCTGTCCTTAAATAAAATACTTTTTCTTGTGCTAAATGTGTTCTGCTTATACCTGGTATGGATGTATGCATATGTTTATATATTTCAATATTTCTAAAGATATAGTGCAATTTCATAATTCAGATGCATTTTTACTAGTTGGTAACATTACTTGAGATACCTAAAATAAGAAAGACAAGTTTAGTGATTGTTAAAGACAGAAAATCCTTTACTCATTTCTTTATAGCTCCAGAAAAGAATATGGTAAAAAATGTTTTGTAATGGAGATTGATTATAGTGAGATGTAGATTCTCAGCTGAAAAATATGGTAGCCGAGATGACATCAGTGCCAAGTCTTTTGTCTGCATCACATTCACAGACCAGCAAAGTTACAAAATCATTATGAAAAAAAAGCCTACTCTAAATGTGAAGATACCAGTTTATTCTAAACTACTCCCCAAGCAATAGTTATGGTTATTATTTTGGAAATTTAGGTTCATAATTAATATGGATATCTGAGTGGAGGAGATTTATTTTGATAGAGTCTCTCGTTCACTTGTTTCCTCATCTACTCTGCTTGACATTTTCTGAAAGGAGACTTTCTCTTAAAAAAAATACTGTTTTGTGATAGGCAGTGGTGTAGATGTAATCAGATGCCCCTTTGGCTGCATAAAGATTCACTAGTCTTTCCTAGCCTGATGTCCTTGAGCTGATAGAACTGACTGGGTTATTTTTTTTTTTTTTTTGAGATTTCAAAGCCTAAAGAAATATGGAATCAATGTTTTTTTTTTCCATGAAAACATTAATTACCTACAATCTGATTTAATTTTGCCATAGCTTATCTTCTTTAGCTTTGGGCCAAAGCTATTTATCATTTCTTGGAGGTATTCAAGATCACCTACAGATGGGGCCTCCTAATAGAGCAAAAGTCATTTAAGAAACTCATGCACAGCCCTTAGGCCTTTCTATATAGCATTTAACTTGACTTTTTTCTGAAATCCCTAAGATTTGTGAGTCTTAGTGTCATTTGTAGGGTTTTCTGATGTTTCCCTTCTCTCACCTTGTACTGTTTCACAAAGTTGTCAATTTCCCCCCCCCCCTTTTTTTTTTTGAGACAGATTCTCGCTCTGTCACCCAGGCTGGAGTGCAGTGGTATAGTCAGCTCATTGCAGACTTAATCTCCCGGGCTCAAGCAATCCTACCACCTCAGTCTCCCATGTAGTTGGAACTATAGGTGTGTATCACCACACCCAGCTAATTTTTAAAAATTTTTTTGTAGAGATGGGTGTCTCACTATGTTTCCCTGGCTGGTCTCGAGCTCCTGGGCTCAAGCAATTCTTCCACCTTGGGCTTCCAAAGTGCTGGAATTAGAGATCTGAGCCACTGTACCTTACCAAGTTGCCAATTTTTGATTTCTGTGTTTCATGCTGTTTTTATCAATGTTAGCCATCAGAAGCCTGCAATTAATTATTGTCATTACATTTTGTTAATTGCTTTAACATCAAATATTAATATATTCTGTATATGTAACTGCCAAGGGGTTTGCAGATGTGGGTGGAATTCTTTGACCAGCACATCATTTTCCTAGTGGTTAAGGGTTTAGTGGTTAAGGATTTCACTAGCATGGAATTAGGACAGGATGAATTAGTTACATGGTTTATCTGTGCAGGAGCATCACCCCAACATAACGCCTTTGAAAACAACGACATATTTTACTCCTGGACCCAGTAAGGGATGAAATTCCCTTACCCCTCAAAACACGTGCCTTGATTACTGAATTTTTCCTTTTGGGCACTGTATTCTTGGAATTCTGCTTCCTCTACTTGGACCTCTTTTGGGAGATTTATATCCTGTGATTGCTTCAGAATTCCGTTGCCATCCATTCTTTGTTCATGTGGAAACTTAGAGTGCCTCAGTCAGCAGCTATTGGTGTAAGACTCCTTTGTTGGATGCAGGGACAAGGCAAGGTTGGAAGAAGACTTCTTGCCTCTCAACATTAAGTGAGCCCTTCACATCAGTGGCCAACTGTTGACCAAGATGTTTAAGAAACACAGGTTATCATTGCTCTCAAGAACTTCCTTAGTTCTTAGATGTGATTCATTTCCCCTTTGTATCTGGAGCCTCATGGTTGACCTCAGGGATGGAAGCATATTGACAGTTTCAGGAGAGAGTCTTTCTATGTGGTGGAATAGCACCCACCAGTATCTCAGCTGGGACAGAGGGTCATCTCCCAGGAGCCAGCCACATGTCCCTCCTTGGCCAGTTTTGAGACCTCCTAAGGACAGTGCCAGGGTTAATAAGGCCTTTTCTTTAGGCAGCAGTCACTCATGGTGGCTTGAGTCACAGATCAGTACTGAAAATCTCTCACTGTTATTGCTTCTGTGGATTACAGTTAGGCTAGGGGTTGACACAGTAAGTGGATTGGGAGAGCAAAAGCAGGTGGAATCAGTTTCCTTGAGTTTTCACTCTGTAAGGAGTGACCTTGACTTCAGAACTCTGTGCCTAAGTCTCCTGTATAAATTGGGATAACACAGATAATCTCACTTTTCTCACATTGTCATCCATGACATAAAATTAGATATGTTAAGTGCTTTGTTTGTATTAAGAGTGCTCTGATACTGCTTTTGACTGGGCATTGTAGGACCTTGCGTCAGAAAATCATATATTTACCACTGTCCTGCAAATACGTGCACTCTAGAGGTTTGCAACAAGGCTGGTCCTCAGAATGACCTGAGGTTGTTTCGAAAATATAGATTACTGGATCTTCTATACTTACTGTGTGAGAATCTGCATTAGTATTGAGTCATTTGTGTATTAAGAAACTCCCATTGAGTAATTATGGTGATAGGTCTACTTTGGGAGATGTGGTCTAGAGTGCAGTGAGCTGCTCACACTCTGCTTCTTATTCCTACCTTCCGAGGACCAGCCAGGCCATCTGGATCTGGGCCTCAGCTTTCTTGTCATTGACACTTAACAACAACAACAAAAAAATAGCAAGTTAAATCAGTTCTGATGTCAGTGCTCTCCAGATACTCAGTGGACATTTAAACAACACAAACAATTCTCTACCAACCAGGTGCCCTGTCTGGGTAGAAGTCTTGATGTGTGATTAACATCTTTACTACTGAAACAGAGGTTATCATTTTCTACTAAAATTTGTGTATAACTAATTAGGCGGATTGCTGCAGAGAGCAGCTAATATCCTCATAGTTGTCCATATGGTAGCTCGGTTGATTAATAACATACATTTCTGCATAAGATAAAACTAAATACTTTTTAATTTTATACTTTTTAGATTTAGAGCATTGATAGTGATTACATGGCTTTATGTAAGCCAACTGGAGAATGCCATTTCCACTGTGGATATAATCTTATGGGTCATTGATTAACAGGTTAGTAGTGAACTGCTGCAGGATAGTATGGATATAGCACGATATGAGGAGCAGAGAGACTACAGTTTCAAATTGTAGCTTGATCTTTATTTTTGCGAGAGTTCAAAATGTGCTTTTGAATATTAGGCATTTTGAAGAGATATGCAATTGTTAAGCACCAGTATACAGATAAGAAGAAAAAGAAACCTTGCCATTAGACAACTTGGAAGGCATAAATGAATTGCCGACATCTACAAAAATGATCAAGGTTATGCATGGCAGGATGTTGCTTAATTGTAATTTTAAGAGAATTCATTTTGTGGTGTGTGACTAGCTGAGAGAAAGGCAGACATCATACTTAGGTTTGCCTGTCTATGGTAATTTAATTATTATTGACTATTGTGATGGCTTCCCTGATGTTGAGTTAGGTACAAACCTGCTCAATTCCTATTGCAGGAAACTTTTTAATACTTAATAATATTTTGACTTGAAGAAAAAGTCTTTTGACCTGAAGAATGACCATTTCAGGACTAGAATTGTTTTATTGAGTTACCTTTTCCCCCCATAAAGTAAGGTAAATGCTGTCTGTGGAACTTCGGCAAATTAGATTTTGGTTGGACTCTTCTGCCTTTTTTGTGAAGGAAAAGAGGAGGGGTCTGGGAGAAAAGAGGGAACACTAACTGTGAAACCGCGTCTATCATCAATTGATTTTGAACTTGCAGCCTCATTAGGTGGTTAGTATTGGGCCATCCAGCCAAAATTATCTTTTTGGCCATCTGTGCCAAATTATAGGGAGTAATAGCCTTGGGCACAGCTGCTGAGTCTAATGTGTATTTCTAACTTGTGTATTAATGATAATGACTGCATAGAGAAGTCCAGTGACCAAATGTGCAGAATAAATAAGAAGGAACAAAATATATGTAAATTTAGAATTAAAAGAAAGGAAAATCTCTGTTTTACATCAGGAAATGACAGTACATATTTATTTAAATCTCTATGCAATAATATGACCTTTTTCTACTCCATCTCTTCACAGTTTCTCCTAAGGAGAAATAAATCTTAAGAGAGATTGGCTTTGAATTTTGGTCCTTCTATGTGGTGCTTCTTGAATTTGCTCTGTGATAGGACACGGGTTTTATTACTGTATCCCAACATTGATTGGGCCTTTTCTCAGCTCAGCCTGTCCCTTTAAGAGAATCACTCAGGAGTGACTGACTGCCTTTGGTGTCACTGTACTTTTTGTTGGTCAGCTGGGGCCAGCAGTAGGACCTTTATAGGCAGGCTAAGTCTAATGTCACTAGAAATATAATTAAGAAATTATAAGAAAATGAGATATTCCATAATCCAATGACTAAGGATAAAGAATGCTAAGAATCAGGATTTTAAATAGACATGTCTACATTTTGCATGGCCGTTCATTTCTCTAAAGTATCTTAACTAATGAATATATTGGAAGGAAACCTACCTTATAGTGAAGGAAGCCTTTTAAAAACTCACCCAAAGAAAGTGAAATGATTTGGCACATAGAACATAGTAGCATAGTTCCCTATACATGCTTTACAATTTTTTTTCCTTCAAGCCTACCTCATCCAGAGCCTCTCCATTTTTGGTTGTTCAGCACCCAAACCTTGGAAACATCCTTAGCTTCTTCCTCTCACAACTTACATCCAAACAGTCAGGAAATTCTGTTGGCTCTACCTTCAAAGTATACCCAGAATCTGACCATATGTCACAACTTCCCACTACCATTCTTGTCCCAGTCAACATTACCTGTTGCTTAAATCATTGCAGCAGATCCCCAGAAGGTCTTCTTTGCCTCCTATAGACTCTTCTCCACACAGCAGCCAAAAATTTTGTTTTAAAACCTGAATGAGGCTATATTTCTTTGCCTAAAACTGCAGCAGCTTCCATCCCAAGAACCAGACCCTGTATACCATCTATCCCTCTCTTATCTCCCATTGCCTTGCCCATTCCTGCCTTAGAACTGGTGTCTCACAGTTGGTAATACCCTCGGCCTGGAATGCCCTGCCTCCTGCCTACCCGCAGGCCCACTGTCTTACCTCCTTCGGGTCTTTGCTCAAATGTCACTTTCTCAATGAAGTCCATTGTGATCACTGTGCTTAAAATTACAACCTGCCCACCACCCCAACCCCTTCACTCTCAATTCATCTTACCCTGTATTTTTTTCCCCACAGCTCTTATCGATTAAAAAAAAAAAGTTTTACTGAGGGAAAACTTACATATCATTAAAGTTCACCCATTGTAACTGTGTACAGTTCAGTAGTTTGTAGCAAATGTATAGCGTTCTGTAGCCACCAACACAATCCAGTTTTAGAACATTTCTGTCACCGCAAAATGTTCCCTCATGCCCATTTGCAGTTATTCGCCACCCCCTCTCCATCATAGGTAACCTCTGCTGTGCTTCTACATCTGTACATTTGCCTGTTCTAGACATTGGCATATTTGTCTTATTTGCTTAGTGCTTAGCATGTGTGGTTCAAAAGATGAAGGAGCTGCATATTTGTTAAATTTGGATATTACCATATTTCTTGTGTGTGTGTGAACTTATTTGCAGATAACTAGCGTCAGGACATGGGGAAATTGGACAGAAATGGAAGAGAGATGTAGGGGTGCCTGTACTCCATCCATGTGTGTCTGTCGGGCAACAATCCTGAGGTTCTCTGGGTGTGCCTCCACTGCCCTGTCCCCCTCAGGGAGATGAGCTGACTCCTCACACGTTTTCTATTAATGAATGATTCCATGATTTCTTCATTCAGTTGTGGAGGAGAGCATGGAATCAATGTGTACTCCTGCCTCAATATTCAGTCATCAGGGGCTCTCAGCCTCTCCTTCCACTTCCTCCCGTGTCCCCCTCTACCCTCCATCCTCACAGCTGCCCTTCTGCCTTCAGCTTCCTTACAGCTTCTCTGTGCCACTTTCTTTATCCTTCCATCCCTTCCTAGGGACTGTTGTCACTAATATCTTTAGAGATGTGGCTTCCATCATGTCACTCTTCTTTCTAAAAACTTCTGGCAACCCTTGAATACCCATAGCTTGATTGGTCTCAAAAAGCATTTCTCCACCTGCCTTCTAATTCTTCCCCAATGTGAACCGTGTCTCCTTCTCAGACTCTGTAAATAAACACACTCTCAGGAAATACTGATTCCTTGACAACCTTTAGTGTTATGTATTTCTGATTCCTAAGCCTCTTTGTCAAGTAATGAATAATTTAAAACAAACAAACAGAAAAACCCTTAAAGCCCCTAGGAGTTGACTATTTGAAGAAATCCAGTAACTTATCTGTATATGTTTTCCTAAGTCTGTCATTCTCAAAGCATCACAGCTCCAAATTTGCTGTATATTTACCAAGGGTGTCTCTGGCCACCAGAGTAGTGAAGTTATAGTTACAAGATAATTCCATAGTGGAAAAAAAAACAAATGTGTGGTTCAGGCTCACCAGCATCAGGATCAGACTTCAGTTCCACTAGGTTCCCTATTGTTCCCTGCCAGAGGGTCCTGGGGTCCCTGGCCAGGTGGTACTGGGGCAGGGCTGGGCCCCACAGTGGACACCTTCTCTTCTGGGCTCCACCTTCCGGCATGCTTCTCGTGTCCTGCAGATACCTCATCAGCATTCTCTGTGCTGCTGTTGCTGCTTCTGACTGCTCTGGTCCTCCCTGATGACCAGTGGTATTAAGGCTGCCTGTGGACCACACTGTTCACCAGCCACTGGCCTCCTCCACAGCCAGTGGGCTTTGGCTGCTTGTAGCTTCCTTTCTCTCTTCCTGCAGCAGCAGCAGCAGCAGCAGGGGATACATAGATGGAATGGATTTGGAAATAGACGGGCCTAAGCTTGAATCCTGGTTCTTTCATATACAAGTTATTTGGTCTTGGGAAAGTTACTTATTTCTTTGAACCCCAGTATTGTGCTCTGGGGACAGTTACACCCACCCTGCAGTATAATCATGTGACCCACATGCAGTGATGTATGTAAGTTTCATTGTCTAGTGCCTGACACAGACTCAGCACCCAGTACGTTTTTGTTGTTGACTGTTATGATATTCTAAAGTGAACTGCAGGGGCCCAGGAAGCTAATGGCTGCTCCCCTTTCACTGAGGACAGCAGGCCTTTCTTCCCAGGATTACTGCTCTATGGATGTAGGGTAATGTGAATGTAGGCAGTCTTTTTTGACCACCATCTACATTTTCCATTACTCAGTCTCTAAAGCTAGCAAACAACTATGAGACATGGGCCACACCTTATTGGCTTGCATGGCCCGCCTCTCCCCTCTTCCTGCCATTCTGTCATTGCAGGATGAAAGTTAGAAAATACTGATGTATTCTGTGTTGTTATTGCTTCTTAAAGCTGCCATTGGTGTTTTTGCTTATAAAAACATTGCCAGTTTTCTCAGTAATACTGTTTTACTCTGTAAAGAATGCTTATTTGGCACACAGTTACTGGGCATCTGTCAAGTGTCAGGCATTATGCCAAAGGCTGATGAGTCAGTGGTGAGGAAGATAGTCAGGAACTTGTCATCTCTGAGCTGACACTCTAGTGGAAGCATTTATCACACGATCTCACAATTAAGAGTGAGATTACAATACAAATAAATGCTGAGGAGGAGAGGTTCATGGCATTGTTAAAAGTATAAAGTGGGAAGCTTTGACCTGCTCTGGAGGTTGATGAGGAAGCCTTCCCTAAGGGGGTTTGAAGGACATGAGGCATCAGTGAGGCAAAATGGAGAGATTGGAGAGTGTTTCAAGTAATGGGAAAAAATTCTAGGAGGAAACACAGTGTCAACACAGTGGGGTGCAGAGAGCCAAGGGCAGTGAAGGGGGAAATGTGCTGGAGGACGGGTAGAGAAGGACTGCACACAGGCCTATAAAGATAGGTATCTTTATCAGAAATGCCGAGAAGCCATTGAGGAATGATTGTAATGATGAAGTGGCAGGAACTGGAAGGCTAAGATGAGATCTGATTACAGGGGAACAGTAATCAGAATAGGAGGGCACTGGAGTCCATTGATCTGGTTCAGATCAAAGGTCATAGAAGTAGCTTAGCCTAGGGAGGTGGGAATAGAGAAGGAGAGAAATTGCCTAAGGACAACTCAGGAGGTAAAATTTTCAGGGCCTGGTGCTGGATTGAATATTGAGGGTGAGGGAAGAGAAACCTGATGACTCCTACATGGGCGTAGGTGGAGGTGTCATTCTATACAACTGCAAGTGCGAAGGTAACATTCCATACAACTGCATTAATGTTGGTGCCATTTATATGGGTTATAGTACTAATCCATACAACTGTGTGATTATGGCAATATTAAATTTGAGCTGTCTTTAGGACGTTGAGATGAAGATATCAAATAGGTTATTGTGTGTTTGGAGGTCATAGAAAACATTGGACCCATAATATGATTTTTGATTGAGATTGAAATTGCCTAGGGATAGAATAGATCAATTAAATCTCAAGGAACTGTAGCTCTTAATGATTAGGTAGAGAGGGATAAGCAAAAAGGAGAAAAAAATAAGTGTAGCCAGAGAGGAAGGAAGAAAACCAGGAGAGACTGGAATCCTAGAAGCCAATGCAGTGGTGTGATTCAAGGAGAGAGCATTTACTGATGCAGAATGCTGCTGATATCCAAAATGTAGAGGAGTGAAAGTGGCAACTGAATTTGATGTTGGTCAAGATAAAGCATGCATGGTGACTCAGAGACCAAAGGCAGACTGCAGCCCAGACCTCATTACTATGCCACTGCATTAAATCCCAGAACCATACTATAGCCCTGCTTAAGCAGCCCCAAGAAGGCAGAGCTTCCCAACTGGTAGAACAGATAATAAGCTGAGTTACAGAAAACAGGCAAATGAACAGTTTCTTGCACACCAGACTTTGTAGTAAGATTCGTACTTACTCTCTAAATGCTGTATAGTCATTCATTTAGCAGACGTTATTGGATGCTGTATATAGAAATGAGGTGAGAGGCGCTCCATGCCCTGAATACATTCATAGAACAGCCGAGAGAAAAGATATAACAATAATACACCCATAATTGTGATGTAGGCATAAGGTAAGCATCACTAACACAGGCACAAATTGTTGGAATTCAGAGAATGGAAAGCGTAATAGATGATGTGAAATGTACAAATCAAAAATAGAAACGTGAAGTGCATAGTCCTGGAAATCAGATAATTAACACCTTAGGATTTACTGTAGAGTGGCACTGATAGCTCATTAGCCTTTCTTAGCCATTATTTCTTCCTTTGTACTTTTGTAAATAATTTTTCAAGTCTTTTCAAGGGTTTGTTTACAAGGTTGAAATTTTAAAAAATAAATTTTGCTTGAAAATGCTTTAAAAGGTACAACTTCTATGATTCGCCTGTTCAAGTCAGCACTACTTTAATAAAGATAGTGAAAAAGGTATATTTTGTTCTTTCCACCTGGGTTGACACTGGTTTCAAAAATATTAACTTTGAGAAATATTCTTACCAAATACTAAGGCTTCTCTCTAGGAAGTGGTGAAACAAACATGCATTTTGATATTTAATTTAAGAGATATCATGATTCTTACTTATCATGTATTTTCTGAAAAACCTGTTGTTATTCCCATTAAGAATTAGCCATACTTAATCTGATTTAATTCTTAAATAAGTTTTCTGAGTGACTTACATTTTAGTCAAATGAAATGATAGCTCTGAGAAGCATTGATATTATTAAGCAGAAGAGGTTTGATATGATGTGATGACCAAAAAACAATCAAGGTAAGACTAGATGTTGTAGTCAACTTCACGTAATCCACGAAAGCCCCTCTTATGCTATCTCTTGAATAAGTGAGCCTGAGAAAGTATCCTCTCAGGAGCCTCTGTGGGGTTCCCTGCTGCACAAGGATCACCTGGGTTGGTGTCACATAGCTGCCTTTTTTCTCTGATTTGTCCTTTACTGATCTCTTCCATCTAAGCAATGAGAAGACCCCCAAGAACAATTTGGAACACTTTCCTCTGACCTCTTACTTTTTCTCTGTTGTGTGTAATTGGGATGAGGGGTCAGGTGCAGGAAGTGGTTGTCCCATAACTTTTTGAGAATCAAATAAATGGTCCAGATCCTTATTCCTATGCAAAATGCATGTATGAATATGGTCTCAGAGAAAGAATGCAGAAAAAGACTGGCATATGTACTGTATATATAGTAACTTAGGTAAGGTCTGTTTATGGAACCCCTTTAGAAACCTCTGTTCTTAACTATCTTGGGCCATGATCTGAAAGAGTTCCCTGAAGCACATGTGTTGCTCTAACATTCTCCTGCTTTACAGCCAGCGGTTACCCCACAGTCACTGTTTGTTAGCTTAGGCTTCACTGCCTTTTGCAGCCCAAGATCTGCTGGCCCCACTTGTCTGGGTCAGTCCAGACTGGTGCTGCCCCTGTACTACTGCTGTCCCCCTCACCATCCTTTCCAGCTACTGCTGCCACCTCGCACCTGCCAGATGCCCAACATGCTTCTTCACCTCAATCTCAGTCCAAAATCTGTGCATCAAGCCATCTGTGCTCAATACCCATTTCCTCCATGAAACCATTCCTGATTAGCTCTACCATGCAATAATTTCCCTTGTTCTAGACATCTTCATCTAATCTGCCATTTAGCTGTGGAGAGTTGCCTTTTGTTGTTCTCTGGTTATCTTATGTGTGTTTTCTTAATTTGAAAGTATATGAATGATAGAAGCTATGTCTTGAAGTGTTAAGGCTGGAAAGGACATTAGCATTGAAATCCTCAATCTTTTATCCCACTTCAGGAAATCAGTAACAGTGACTTGCTACAGCTGTGGGGTGTGTGTGTGTGTGTGTGTGTGTGTGTGTGTGTGTGATTCAGAATATCCCTTCAGGGTCATATTTGATTCTCAAGGAAGAAGAGAGAGGGGAGAAAGCATAGAGAGATTGAAAAAGACTTTCCCCAGGTTATTCTGATGCCACCACCTCCCTTTCTACCTCCATCTCTAGTTTTTTATTGTCCTCATTCTGCAGAGAATCACTCCTTACGGCAGAATGGCTTTCGATCAAGCCTGAGTAATGTGTAGCAACCTGTTCACCTCTCTCTTGCCCACATGCCACAGTTAAAAATTAAATTAAGCATTCAGGGCTAGAGATTTAGAGGAGGGACTGTAGGCTAAAAGAGAAAAGAGAAATGAGATGTATTGTTCATGCTCCCTCTACACACACACACACACACACACACACACACACACTCTGTACATACACACACATATATGCACATACATATACACATATACACATACCAGCATATAGACACATATGCACACACATATATACACATACATACACACACATGCCTATACATACACACATACATTCTAACCACCTATCCTGGGGTAAAGGACTGTGATAGGGCCATTATTCTTTTCCTCAAAATGGATTTGGCTTATGGTAAATGCAGAGTTCATATTCCTCTAGAACCAGCTCTTAAAGGGTTGGTCTCTTGGTGTCATTCACACAAGACCTGTGCGGTAATATGATATTTACTTCTATTTCCAAGAAGAAGTAAAAAAAAAAAAAAAACCTTATACTGTTCTACCAAGGAGATTTCTCACCCACACACAGGCTGACACCTGTTTTACTTATTACTGCTGACCCCCAATGTTGGATAACTTCACATCAGCTGTAAATCCCACAAACTGATTTAATTGGATTCCTCCACATTTTGTATGAGAAAGCAGAAGCCCAGGGAAACAAACTGGCTTGGCCAGTGAAACCCTTAGTAGCAGAGCCGGGACCAGGACCCAGGTCTCCGAGGTCTTGTCTTTACTGGTTGCTCTTCTTTGGCTTTGCGGCCCCTGTAGTGCCTCGCACAAACACATTTCATAAGCCTTCACTGCTTCCTTTTCCAGTTAAACACTTCGAGCTTCCTGCTTTTTTCTTTTGCCATATGCACAGACACTTGCCCCAGCCATCTGGGGAAGGGAAAAGTCATATCTGGCAGGGGAACGAGTGTGCAGATGCATTCTTTTTATAATTACTGAAAAGAAGGTTGTTGGAGGTATGATTTATTTAGCCAGCTTCTTCAGATCTAGATTCAAAAGCTGTTCTCATGTTCAGAAAATATTTTATTTTGTACAAAACTCTCAGGACATTAATTCCTTCTCAACCTGTGGTCTCATTTTTCAGCATGTGCCTCTCACTGAAAGCTAGTTCACCACCAGCATTAATTTGACCCCCAGCTGTATTCGTTCCCTGTCAGTTCTTGTCCTCCAGGCTGTTGCTCATCGTTATATCAAAGATGGGAGCAACTGGAATTAGATGCCTGTGATTATTAAGACGGTAATTACTGATCATGCTGACACCAGTAATATTAACTGGTGTTTAAATAATTTAAAATGTTACCTATGAGGCATGCATGAATTCAAGGTATCAGAATAAAAGGCACTATCTAAAAGAGCCTAGGCAAGAATAAAATATTTGTTCTTGTTTTATTCAGATATTCTGGCTTAAAATGCTATGCAAGGATGATGGACTTCCTCTAGTTTAAACAGTTGTTTTTAAGTTTCTTTACAATAGACCTACATAATATGGTTCTAAGGAATGCTGTTTGTGGGGAACAAATTAGTTTTATTAGATTTCTCAAGTCATTAACATAACTTAATAACTTAATATTCTACTACAATGGCCCCATCTGCCATATGGGTTTTATGAGTTTGATGATGCTATATATTCATATTGTACTTCATAGTTCAGGAAGTACTTGCCAACTCATCATGTCATTTAGTCTTAAAAGTATTGTGGGGGATGTAGGTTTACCTCTGTCTTAATGGAGAAATAAATGTTGGCTCAGAAAGGCTATATTACTTGTTCAAGTTGCATGAGTAATAAGTTGTGAGGTTAGAAGACGAGATTTGTTGGTGACTTCACAACACTTTCCAAATCTGTGAAGTGACAGTAAACTGTACACCATAGCCTTGCTGTACTTGGGAAAATAAAAGAAATACTGTCTTCTTTGGTGGAATCTTCTGAATCTATTCTTCATCGAAGAATAAACAGTCTTAGGAAGGAAAAGAGCTTTTCATGGACTTACAAGAGCTTTTCTTTATTGGAAGAATGATCGTCTTTACTCTTAAATTTATAATTCTAAGAATATAACATGACGTTGACAACTCTTTATTTTTATAGATGATTAAAGTGTATGAGTTCTGCCATTTATGAGATAATTCCAATGTGCTGTGCTGAATTTCTAGGTCTCTTGTTATAAACTACTTAAAATATTTTTGTTTTAATTTGGGAAGCATTTCCTTGAGAGGTTGGATGCAGCTTCCATTACTTAATTTTTATTTATTGTTGTTTTTAAACATCATCATTTAATCCTAGCACATGGCTGTGCCAGCCCTTTATGCTAATTGTGGATAGTGCATGGCAGGGATAATGCTAACACTGTCTGTTGCTTACCATGATGCCACATAACTCAAAACCATGCTTCTTTTGAAGAGTTGCAAAACCACATCCAACTCCCTTAGAGCAGAAATCCCAGCCTGTACCCTAAGACTGGGGCATGCCTGTGGGGCAGGCCCTTTCAGAGATCACAGACCTTGTGGAGAGAATAAAGGTGCACACACTTAGTTCTAGCCCAGTGGGCCAGCGTCAGAGCAAAAGTTTAATTTCCAAGTGCAGCACAGTGCCTACCACTCAATTGTCCCTTCACCCAAGCCTACTCAGACTCAAGACCAAGTCCTAGAAAGAGAGGGGTGCTTTAAAAAGGGTAGGAAAAAAAATTTTAAGCATTGTTTTACTGAAACCCCTATGGGATCCTGAGTGCACAACATTGGTGACTTGGGCAGCACTGGCACTTAAAATTTTGGTCATTGTAGGAAATGGCATTCTTGGGCAGTGTCTTCTTCAGAGAAGTGGGTGGTAGCTTCCCGGGGGAGTCACAGGCTTTAGAGCCATGTTCAGTGCTTTTGGCATGAACCTGGGCCCCGTTGGTGTCTACATCAGTAGATTCAGAGGCTGGCATTGTTGTACAGTGTGGAATAATGAGAATGTGGAGGCTGACAGGGTGATTATGGTTTTGAGAGTTAGTGAGACAAACCCTGGAACTGAGGAGCTGGTCTTCATTGTGTAGTTAAAGTTTCTGCAGTTATGGGTGTGGGGTATAAGGCCAGACAAGGATGGTTTTTAACTTTTTCTGGGGTCTTAGCTTTTACTTAAATGGCTGGGATATAAGGGTTTACATGAATGATAAGATGAGATTCATCTTGTTTCATGGAAAAATATTCACTTTACCAAAGAAGTATCAACAGGATTAGTAAGCTTTTAGATATTCAAAATATGAGTTTATTTAGGAAAAAAATATTTTAAATATTTTGTTTTAAGTGATATCTCCTTTTAGACCAATCTAACCATTAAGAATAGATATATAATATCTATTTTCAGTTTCTGGTAAAAGAATTTTTTAACGTGAATCCTTCATCTGGATCCCATTTGTGGTGCTCAGTTTTTTAAAGCACTTATTATCTCGTGGCACACCATATCACTTACTTATTTGCCATGTTTATTGTTTGTCTGTCTTCTTGTGTAGACAGTTAGCTCCACAGGGCAGGCATTTTGTCTGTTCTGTTCACTGATATGTCCCAAGAACCTAGAAGTGCCTGGATATGGTGACCACTAAATAATTACTTGTTGATTCTTAAGTCAAGAATCTGTCACTTCACTGCTATGAGCTAGGAATTATTGTAATTGTTTTGTGAGAAATAGGTAGTGAGGAACAAGGGCCTGGATAATTATTTTATAATATTGATAATTGGACAAGTATGGGAGAAAGCACGGTAGTGGCAGGCCACTTCTGAATTTGTAATTTTCATCTTATGTTTTTGCCATTTTTGCCAATCCTGCTCCAACTAGACCTAAGGTAGATCCTAATGAGATAACAGCTCTTATATTCCCATCTTTCCCTTTACTATTCCTCTGGATTGGCTGATTGTTTTATACTCTGGTTACTTAGGGGGAAAAAAGTGTAAGGGTTAACAAATGAGAAATGATGGTAAAAGAAAAACAAAGGGAACGGCCATAAAATGAGCTGTGAATTGTAGAAAAATATTGGGTTCTATATACTTATTAACAGTGGGCACATATTTAATTCTAAACTTCCTTAGTAGTCATTGTGAAAAAAGCAGCTTGATTACTTTCTTGATTTAAAGCATTTGTAAATGTTAAAAGAAATTTATCTGGGAGGCCATTAGGCTGAGACGGCTCCAGCACCTTGGGTTCCTACCTAAGTAAATGAAACCAGTGTTAATAGTAAAATGAAACAAACATAACCAGCTGAAATCATCAACTAACCACTAACTGGGGACTTTCCACCAATCATATCCAAATAAGGCAAACACCTAACTGTAGCCAATCAAGTAATTTCTTAGTTTTGCTTCTGCATTCAACCTGTGTAAGCCTGAAGCTCACGCTGCACAGCTGAGTTCTCTGAACCTCCTCTGGTTCCAAGTGATGCCCAATTCATGAATTGTTCATTGCTCAAATAAACTGTTATATTTAATTTGTCTAAAGTTTTTATTTTAACATAAATAAGACACAACCACATGTTAGGAACATCGATACAATTTATTTCTTTATACTAAGACCAAAAATAAATCCCTCTCAAGGATTCTCATGAAAAGGACACTGTGTGATTAATGTCATGAGCAATGTCTTACAAGCATCTTTACAGGGTTATCACATCTCTTCTCTGATGCTTTTATTAATGGCATACCTCAATATATACAGAGATGGTAATTTGGGAGTACAGATGGGAAGGTATATTGCCTTTTGTACTCTGGCATAATAATGATTAAAACTAACACTTTCACGGATTTTATGCTCTTTGCATTGTTCTTAGTAATTATATTGACTCATTAAACTCTTATAAACATGCTGTGAGGTAAGTAGTATTATATTAATCATATTTTATAGAATGAAGAAACTGAGGCAGAGAGGAATTAAGTACTTGTCCAGAGTCACACTGGTAGTGGCTGGGGATTTAAACCTAGGCAGTTTGATTACAAAGTTTGCACCCTTATCTTATGTCAAAAGGATACTACACAGTGTCCTTTTCAGAGAATCCTTGAGAGGGACTTCTTTCTGGTCTTGGCATAAAGAAATGAATTGTATGATGCTCCTAAATGTTTGGTTTGGCTAGATGCCTTTCTGGAATCCAAGGCTAGATTTTAGAGGATCCAGAAGAGAAATGAACATTTTTCAGAAAATTGTCTATTGTAGGTTACTTAGAAGTTACTGGGCAATTGTGAGAGTTTTTGCTCTCTGGAAAATCCCTGAAGTCTAGCTATTCCGTGTTACTAATGCTAGACGCAGCACAATGTACAATGAGCGGTGTGAATTTTAGTCAGACTTACCTGGATTCTAATCCTGGTTCTACCACTTATTAGATTGGTGATCTTGGGAAAGTTATTTCACCTTGTACGTCAAACTTGAGGTTGGTTCATATCCTCTGCTTGGTAGATCATCATAGTTGGTATTCCTAGACATTTCTCCAGAGAGACCAAATATTTTTGTTTTTAATAATGTGGAGAAAAAAAATTCAACCAAGACATCAGATGATTCCTGAGACCTACAGAAAAATTTTGTGATGTAGGTGTGTCCTTATGTGGGCAAGTCTCTTTTTTTGTGTGTGATACATAATTATTGAAATCATAGGATATACTTTGGGTCTGTTTCTTCATGAAATAAACATGATGGTTTTATTTTCACTAATAGTATTTAGCAGTTTTAAGTACAGGATATCACAAAGGGTAATAATATCTTGGTTAGAGAATACACTTTTTTAAAAAACAACATTATGTGATCATAGATTTTGTGCATTAGGAAAATTAGGATTGATGAAGGAGGGATTTAACTTCAGTCACTGTGATGGATTTGACAGCCTTTTTCCCCTCCACCTCCCCAATGCAATTCTCTCTCAGATTTATCCTCCCACTTGTCGAGCTCACCCAAGCCTATTGACTGAGCCAAGAAAACATACTCCACTCTCCTCCTCTTTTTCTGACTCATGCGAAAAAGTCATGTAGCAATTCAAACATTTCTGAAATTACAAAACATAATGTAGAAAACTTTCTTATCTCCGACTTTAGAATCTTTTTTATTATTTTGATATTTGCATAAGTAAGATTTTAGATTAATTTCATTTCTTCAGAGGCTTTCCCTGACAACACAGTAAACACCTGTTGACTCAATCACATCACGATGTTTTGTGCATTTTAGCAGCCATTGTTATCCAGTGTTTTCTTGTTTGTCTATTTACTGTTTATTCTTCTTAGAATGTAAGTTCTGTGAAAATAGGGACATTGCATGTCTTGTTTTAAACTGTGTCTTCTAAAGGTAATGGCACATAGTAGGAATTAATAACTTTTCAAATGGATGAGTCTTTCTAAAATCCTCATGCATTTTACTTCATTTAAATTGAGTCTCCATAGCTCCAGCTCTGATATTCTAGTTAGTCAGTTTTCTCTTCATGCAATTCTTTTTGCCATCCTTCACATTTGTTCACACTTGTTATCATTGTTCATTTACCCAGATCCAGTGTCTCTGGGTTCATTTCTAATGTTGCCACCATCTACCCCGACCAGCCTTTCTTTCCACAGATGTAGACTTGCCACCATCTTTTTGTGTAATGTTGACTGAGTTAGTATTTGATAATCTCATTTTTATTTTTGTAAAAATTGTGAATATTTTCCATTTGACTGACTCACAGTGGTGAGTCCATTTGACTGACTCACATTAATAATACAGATTATTAATGACATCTCTCATTTACTTTCATAAGATCATATCTTCAGAGTTCCCTGGTGAGATTAATGATTTTGCATTGTTTAAATATTCATAGTGTAATTGGTACTGTGATTCCGAAAGCAGAACTTTTCTCTCTTTTTTTCCCCTCCTAAATTTTAATATTTCACAAAGGTATTTAGTAGTAGTAAAACTAAGGAAGGGAAATTCAGTAGGTAAATGGTTTGCCACTAATAACTGGAATTAAATTTACTGACTTAAAAATTTTTTACTTAAATCAATATTGTTTTTTCTTTTTTAATAGTAAAATTATGGCTAGTGTTTTGAGTGCTCATTATATTTTCAAAGTGCCTTATCTTGCTGTTCAGTTACTCTGTAAAAAGCAGGACAATGTAATATTGTCTTAAAACAGAGCCACAGTGTATTTTTCAAAGCCAAGATTTTAAAGTGATATTAATTTAAAAATTAAAATGAAATTTTGATTTCTTTTGAGTTTTGATATCTCAAAGTTGTTAAAATTATGTGCATATTCTGTAAAAGACTTAGAAGCACATTTTTAATGACAGAGGCAAGTGTTTTTGGAGGTGTCTGAAATTTCTACATTTGTGTTAAAAAAAAAAACCATTAGCTCTCTAAACAAGAACAATGTCTAAACAATACATTTATTAGTAAGTGTTCTAGGAACATAGCTCATTCTAGCAAAGAGAAGAGTGGGATGTGATCCCTGCCCCTATAATTCATAGTTAAGATGTCAGTTAACATGAAGCTCAACCCAGCTGAAGGAACTTCACCTCATGCCCACGTTCTTTCTTCTACCTTACATCTCTTTTTAAAAAGGAAAATTATGCTCTAAGTGATAGCTTTTATCAGTTGTCACGTTAAAAAAAAAAAACCCAGACACTTTGCTTTACAAAATCATTTTAATCTTACTCCTTTACATGCATTCCTGGTGTATGGTAAGTGCTATTTAAATATTGAATGAGTTGAGTGAGTGAGTGAATGAGTGAATGAGTGAATGGTTAGTGAACGACTAGTTACAGTAAATTCTTTGTTATTCAACCTGGCCAGATGTATTTTCATGGAAAACCAAATATTTTATCTGAGAGAATTAGCATGTTCGTCACACCAATTAACATAACCAGTTGAATAGCTGAGGGTTGTCCTCTTTGCCATAGACATTGATATTAGTAACAAGACAAGGGCATTTCACATATGACTCTTGTTCTACTTTGATTCCACAACAGAAGACATTCTTATATCTGAGAGCCCATGAGATGATAGTGAGAAAATGCAATTTTGGGGGTAGACATGTGCATATAGCTGTCATTGATTTCTTAAACTCAAGAAAGCCTTGTAATACAAATTACTCAGTTTGAACAAAAAAAAAGTACTTCTCACAAAACGTGTAATTCTGAATGTTTTGTAAGTTAGGTTAGAACTGTGACCTGATCTAAACATAAAGTGGTTAAATAGAAATTTAAAACATGATATTTAAAATTTTATTATTAATAATGGAAAAATATACATGGGTCAGACTCACATGGTCTCGGTTTGATGATAAGGGAGACTTCAACAGGCTGAGTAGGACAGGGAAGAAGCCAGGACCAGCTTGGGTTCAGGCAAAGGAAACAAACTGAGCTGTTTGCATGAGAGGAGATGTCAACAGCCCTATACACCTTGTTCCTGGAGTATTATGAATTTGGGCTGCATTTACCTAGTGTCTGTGGCTAGAAGTTGGGTACTATAAGGGGACAGCAGCAGGAGGAAAGTTTGCGACTAATACTCAGAGTCAGGTGAGCAGTATGTTGTTTCTAGGTCTATTTTAAATAGTTTCCAAAGAGGGCTGGGCCATGTGGGGCATGTTGGACAGTGCGCCACCCCACACCCTGTACCTTAACCATCGCTGGTAAGGTAGTTACTGATACCTTAGAGTTTGCCATCACTACCATCATCTTACCATCATCATCAAGACAATATTAATTGCTCACTATTAATATTGAGCAATATGCATACCAAAACTGGTATGTACTTTGGATTGTCTCATTTAATTGTCTGTCTCATAAATCGCATTAGTTATAATTTAGCTAATTAAGTTGTATACCTTGTGAGATAAGTTTTATATATTTTTTAAATTTAGCTTTTATTTTTACCAGTGTTATATAAAGAGTCAAATAATCCACAAGGCTTGTTATGTGGAAGTATAGAAGAGGCAACTGCTTTCAATTATTTTAGCTGTTTCTTTAGATAGCAGCAGGTCCTGGAGTAGCGTTGTTTTGTTCAATGCCATTTCATTACAAGGTCAATCAGAGAAAAAAATTGATTCCCAGCTGGGACCACTGTCTGTGTGAAGTTTGCACATTCTCCCCATGTCTGCATGGGTTTTTTCCAGGTACTTTGGATTCCCCCCACATCCTAAAAATGTGCACATTCGGTTCACTGGTGTGTCTACATTGTCCCAGAGTGAGTGAGTGTGAGTGTGTGTGAGTGCACCCTGTGATGGGATGGCATCCTGTCCAGGATGGGTTCCCGCCTTTTGCCCTGAGCTGCTAGGATGGGCTTCAGCCACCCAAGACCTTGAACTGGAATAATTGGGTAAATAATTATCTTACTTGTTTTTATTAATGTTTCTTAAATGTATGTATAGCTCATATTAATTTCATTGTTTAATATTAGAAGTGTTTTGGGCATTTTTTAAAAGAAGTTTGGTGACTTTTTGTGACCAGAAATATGCCATAGGAACTTAACTCTTGTTTTTATGAATTAGCCTATGGTAAAATTGAAACTGCCTTTGTAAAGAATATGACAGCAAGAGAAATTTGTGATGGCTGACTCCATCTTGCTTCTAGCCTCACAGGCTGGCTGGACTCACTTATTCCTAGGTGTAGGCCCAGCTAACCATGGGAGGAATTTAGCTAAAGTCTAACTTTGAAGCAAGAATCATAATAGCTACTCCCTAAAACTGACGCTTCCTTGTTCAGGGACTGAAACTACCTTTTGTAAGACTAATGAAAGGCCACAAGATTAGGATTGTGAGAGGGGCCTGAATTCTGTAAAGAGGTGAGCATAGCTTGCCTTTCTATAATCATTTACTGCACTGTAGTAAATGTATCATCACAAGGTGATCACAAGATTTGTGACTTCCCCAGTTGTTCCCATAGATAACATCACTATTGTAGAACCTAAGGTTGGTCTTTTGAGATGTTTTTCAGACCTTTGTATTCTGGTGACCAATTGACTCCACCAGGACCCATGACTTATGACTCAGCCAGGCCTATGGCCCCCACCCAGAGGCTGTCCCAGCACATAAGGATTGTTTACCACAACCCTGTGAGTTCATCCCCAATCAATCAGCAGCACCCATTCCCTGGTCCCCTGCCTGCTAACTTACCATAAAAACCCTAGCCTCTGAGTTCCTGGGGAGGCTGATTTGAGTAATAAACTCCTGTCCTCTCACTTGGCTAGCTCTACATTAATTAAACTCTTTCTCTACCACAAGACTGCTGTCTTGGTGAATTAGTTTTGTCTGTGCAGCAGGCAAGAAGACCCCATCAGATGATTACAAATTTGATTCATTATACATTGTTTCCAAGAATCTATCAATAATGTATGTGAGAACTTACTTTATTTACGTCCATATTTCTCAGTAACATGCTTATGTTGCCAGTCTTGGTTTTTGATGTTTGAGTTGATTGGTTTCCCATGAAAAAAGATGAAAATTTAGGTTTCTTGCCAAGCTTGTTGGCTCATGCCTGTAATACCAGCACTTTGGTAGGCTAAGGCAGGAGGATCACTTGAGGCCTGGAGTTCAAGACCAGCTTGACCAACATGGCGAAACCCTGTTTGTACTAAAAATACAAAAATTAGCCGGGTGTGGTGGCACATAACTGTAATCCAAGCTACTCAGGAGGCTGAGGCAGGAGAATTGCTTGAACCTGGGAGGTGGAGGTTGCAGTGAGCCGAGATTGTACCACTGTACTCCAGCCTGGGTGACAGAGTGAGACTCCATCTCAAAAAAAAAAAAGAAAATTTAGCTTTCTTCATTCATTCCCTAAAATCACGCCATCATACATACAGGCTTCCCATCCCTCCATTCTCTCAATTAGTTACACTGATACTTTGGTTGGATCATTATTTCATTTTTATATGGTTATGACAATCTAAATGTTATTTATATAATCAAACCATGATTACTTTTCCTTTCCTGCACTACTTTTGTTTTTCATTAATAGTTGTCTTTTTTTTTTTTTGCTTATGTTTTTATATTGTTATCAACAATTCAATCCTCAAACTCTCCTCTAGCTGTAAATTGATAGAAACCACATTAGGTTTTCTGTTTCACCTTCTGGTCAAAGTCTCTCTGGATCTTTCTGAACTCCTCTAGTTTGCCTGTTTTTAATAATTGTAGTTTGGGAACTTCCTTCACTATCACCTGAGAATTCCTATCATCTCTTTCTTGTGTTGAATCCTTGGTCTCCTGAATCACATGTCTTCCTTTTCTCAATATGTACTCCCTTGTTTAGGTGGAAAACATCCTCTAATAACTTCCTGGGAAACAATGCCTGGGAGATAATTGCTTGTAATTTGCAAGTCTGGAAACATCTTTATTCTATTTTTAGACTTTAAAAAAATGATAATTTGTTTGGATATGGAAGACTACAGTGGAAAAAATTGTTTTAGTTTTCTTTCCTTCAATTTTTTTTTTTTTTTTTTTTTGCTTAGATAATTCTCTTTTCTTTTCAAAATTTTGGTGATGCTTAGATATTCACTCATATTAAAGAGAAAAAAAACTGGCTGGAAGCTCTGAGCACATGGGCAGGCTTGTTATGCAGCGATTACCCCATAAAGTGATCTGGTTGAGCCATTTATTTGGGAAACCTATGATGTCAGACTTCTTAGGTTTGGTGTTGGCTTAGTTATATTCCCCAGAGAGTAATCTTCTAATTTCCCTGGATTATATAAACCTAGCTGCTGGCATTCTGGAAGTTGAATGGAACATGAAAGCTTAGGGGCTCCACATTTTCTGTGTAAACTTTCCCTCTCTTTGTTTTTCAGATGGCACCTCTACCCTCTACTGAACGTGGCATTCCCCAGTCTAGAGATACTTTTATTTTCTCCAGAGAGCAAATATCCATTCTGTCACTGGGATGAGACGGACAGTAACCATGTAGTGCAGATTAGGGGAAGGGACCTAAGAGTTCAAACTGCTTTTTAAATAGATTTTTTTCTCCTAGTTTCTCTATTGTCAACTGTCTTAGCCAGCTTGGGCTGTTATAACAATAACAAACTACCATAGACTGGGTAGCTTAAACAACAAGTATATTTCTCACAATTCTGAAGCCTGGAAAGTCAAAGATCAAGATGCTGCCAGATTCAATGTCTGGGGAAGACCTGCTTCCTAGTTTACAGATGACCATCACATTGTGGAGAAACGAGAGAGGAAGCAAGCTCTGTTTTGTCTCTTCTTATAATAGCATTGATCCCATCATGAGTGCGCCACTGTCATTACCCAATTACCTCCCAAAGGCTCCACCTCCCAGTACCATCACATTGGATATAAGAGTTTGAACACTTGAATTTTGGGGGAGACACATTCAGTCCACAGCATGAACCTCATACTCATACCATTGGTTCCTGAGTCTTTTGGATATATATTCCTTGATGCAAATTGAGTTTTTTCTTTGAATTGCCCATTGCCAGGTTGGAATTTGCCTTTCTTGTCTCCTGCTGAGTCAGTTATTATGCATCCAACTGTTCTGTTCTCTATCTTCAATAAGTTTTATGTTTTTAATTTCTTCTCTTGTTCTCTTTGATCTTGGGGGTTTATTGTTGTTTTTTCATCTCTTTACTATAGTTTCAGTGAGGTTATTTCCTCAAGAGAAAGATGAAAAAAATATTTTAAATTAATGTTTCCTTAAATCAGGGTGTGAGTTGCATTCAGTGCAAACATTTGAATGGATATGTGTTCAATCTGCCACTTTTAACTTTTGGTAAGTGTATTAGTCCATTTTCACACTGCTGATAAAGACATACCCGAGGCCAGGCACGGTGGCTCATGCCTGTAATCCCAGCACTTTGGGAGGCTGAGGCAGGCAGATCATCTGAGGTCAGGAGTTCGAGACCAGCTAGGCCAACATGGTGAAACCCCGTCTCTACTAAAAATATAAAAATTAGCTGGGCGTGGTGGTGGGTGCCTGTAATCCCAGCTACTCAGGAGGCTGAGGCAGGAGAATTGCTTGAACCTGGGAGGCAGAGGTTGCAGTGAGCCAAGATTGCACCACTGCACTCCAATCTGAGCAACAGAGCAAGACTCCATCTCAAACAACAATAACAACAAAAAATATACCCAAGTCTGGGCAATTTACAAAAGACGGATGTTTATTGGACTTACAGTTCCATGTCATGTGGCTGGTGAGGCCTCACAATCATACTGGAAGGTGAAAGGCACGTCTCATATGGTGGCAGACAAGCAAAGAGAGCTTGTGCTGGGAATCTCCCCTTTTTAAAACCATCAAATCTCATGAGACTTATTCACTATCACGAGAACAGCATGAGAAAGACCTGCCCCCATGATTCAGTTACCTCTCACTGGGTCCTTCCCACAACACTTGGGAATTCAAGATGAGATTTGGGTGGGGAAACAGCCAAACCATATCAGAAAGTTTCATTTTTATGCCCCTTTTACTAATTAGGAAATTGAGATGTGGAGAAATGTAGTAACTTCATGAAGGTCACATAAGCACTATTGGAGCCAGAATATAAACCTCTTCCTCCAACAGTCTTCTTCCAGAACCCACTCTTCTTACCTGTATACTATGCTGCATCTCCATGTAGTACAGGTTTCTCATTTTACAAAACTGTAGCTTGGAGGTCTCCATATCTTTGAGTGTGTTGTGCTTCTCATTTGGAAAGCTTTCTCCTTTCTCTCCATCCTTTAGTGCTCCCCTACTTGGTCTTTACTCAGTATTCTAACCCACATGCCTCTCCTTTGGTAGGATAAAGTGGTGCAGCAGAATGTAAGAGCTGGGTTTGAGTCTCAGCTTCAGCAGCTACCAGTTTTACCTTAAGCATTTCAGCTTGCTGAGCCTCTCCTTTTTCTTCTGGGAAAAAAGCTCATTTAATTCTTATAATGTTCGATTGTTGTAAGAATTAAGTGTATTAGCACATGTACATACATACGCCTAGCCCATATGTAGGCACTTGAACAACAGTGTTTCCCCAGTTCTAATGTTTCTTGCAGATGTAAGAAGCACATCAGGTTTTTCAAGGCAAAAAAATAGTAGCACATTAAGGTATATAGTGATTTAAAATACACCTCCAATTTTAGACATTATAAATGAGGAAAATTTGTACCTCTCTCAATAGAAGAAAATGCAGAATGTCTTATACTGTTAGGGTAACTGCAAATGTGGATGTTATGCCTTTGATTATAAGCTTTTTGATTTATGCCAAAGATTATAAGCTCTTTGAAGACACAGACTATTTTTAATCTTTTTATGTCACTCCTGATATCTAGTTCAATGATTAATGGAAATGTATTAAGCGCTTAGCACATATTTGATGAATGAACAGTCTATATATTAAAATTCAAAAGTAAGAGCATTTCTCTATTTGAAAATGGAGTCTGGATTACATCTAGATCATAAATTTGGGAACTCTAAATCTCATATTTTCTATTTGCTAAAAGGCAAAAATTAATCACTGGAGAATGGTCATTTGCTATTGGATTAAGAACTTTTTATTACAGGACTTTCTAATTAAAATAATTACATATATGTAGAATGTTCATTTTGTCATATTATAAAGTAATATGTTATTTATCATACAAATAATTTCTGTACTAGCAAAACACTCAAGATCTACATTGTGTCATCTATAAAGATGAAGATGAATAATTTATTTTAATTTTAACTGGTGTGAAAGCTTTAAGAAATTCCTTAATAAAAAAATTTTCATAGCAATATTTTTAAAAAGCACCTCAGGATGTTATAATTGCAGGTTAGGTTATTTTGACAAGACTGTGTAACTGATCCATGCATTTTATGTTTCTATTCATAGAGGAGTGATGGAGCTAAAAATTAAATTAAAATAAGAGCTGAAAAGGCATGTGCTAATGTGACTGGAAGAACTTACACATTATATTTTAATTTGGTTCCCAAGGTCTCCAGCTGTATTCATGAGGGTGACTAGATACCTTATCCTTATTCTTATATAAAGAAACTTTTATTATTTAATGTAACATTATTTTAGGGAATGAATTTCGTAATACAAACTAAAACATCATGATTCAATATATGCAAATAATCTGTCATGCTCCTCATTTTTAAAACAGAATACATTGTACTTTTACTTTATCTGCTTTGGAGGATTTTGTAAGAATAATGGTAGTCCATGAGGATTTAAAACAGTGAGCAAGATAGATGTGGATCCTGCCCATATAGACAGGATGACCAGATAATTTATCATCCAAACTGGGAAACAAAAGAGAACAAATGGGATGTGATTAGTAAATTGCACTGGGACAATATGCAAAACATAACCATTCCAGAATGAATGATCACCTCACTTAAAGAACTTATTGTCTAGGGAAGGGTTACAGGTAGAAATGAAACTAGGGCAGTAGACCCCCCACCCCAACAAGTAATTATATAGAGTGCTGATTATGCTGTGAGTGGGGATCTATAGGTGCTATTGGATCATATAGGAGAGTAATTAACTGTGACCTGGGAGGATCAGGGAGGGCTTCCCAGAGGAGGTGACATCTGAAACCTGCAGGATGAATAGGGGTTAACCAGGCAAAAAGGAGGGGTAGAAAGTTCTAAACAGTGAAGATGGCAGTTACTGGTACCCTGAGGGGAGAGAACAATTGAGTGTTGATGAGTATGTCTGTATGACTGTAACCAGAAGAAGAAGGATCAAGTGGTAAAACACAAGGCTGGTAGTGTTGGAAGGGGTACTAATTTAAGAAGTTTGACTTTATCTCAACAGCTTTAAGTAGGGCAGTGAGACGATCAAGTGGGCCAAGAGCTATTGCCTGTATTCATTTGATCATCATGTATCCAGTTATCTTGGCTAGAACTGGATCTTCACATCTCTCAGCACGTGGAGCTAGGCAATGTTTCCCCACCCATTGGAAAGAATTCAGAAAGGGTCATATCTGACAGACTAGTGGGTTACCCATGGAAGGTAGCTGGGTAGAAGGAGTGCCAAGGAAAAAAAAATCACCCTAAGTTATGCAGAAGGCATGCAGGTGCACACACAGCTTGGCCTCAGGGATGGAGTGTTGGGAGGTGATGGTGCTTCAAGCATATGGCTGTGCGTCTACACTTTGGACCCTCATCCCTCTCTGCTTGGACCCCCACAGTACTTATGAAAGCTGGAAGGGAGTGTTCTGGTAAAACAAGCAAATTATATGCCTGGGTGTTGAAAGCAACTTCCCAGAGAAAATTTCCTCCAAGAGTGGTGGGGTTTAGCACCTAGAGAAAGATGAGCGCTGATTGGAAAATTGAAAGCTGGGGGCCAGATGCTCCAAGAGGACAGTAGTGGAGAGGCCACTGTCTCAGGCCCCAGGAGGCCTCCAACGTCATGGATTCCTCAGCATGCCTGTGGTCCAGCTTTGTCTGAGCAGAGCACAGACCATCCCAGACCTGGAGGTAGTGTGGTCTGCAGGCCCGGGACAGCTTCTGAGCCACAGTAGCATGGAAGAGACTGGCAAAGGGCTGCCATAACAAAGTACCACAGACTGGGTGACTTGAACAACACAAATTTATTTTCTCACAATTCTGGAGGCTACAAGTCTGAGATCAAGGTGTTAACAGGGTTGGTTTCTTCTGAGGCCTCTCTCTTTGGCTTACAGTTGCTGCCTTCTCCCTGTGTCCTCACGCGGTCTTTCATTTGTATTTGCATGTGTTTTAATCTCTTCTTAGAAGGATGCCAATCATTTTGAATTAGAGCCCACCCAGTAACCTTTTAACTTTGATTACCTCTTTAAAGCCCAAATCTCCAACACAGTCACATACTGAGGTATTGGAAGCTTCAAGACATGAATTGTGGGGGGACACAATTCAGCTCACATCAGGGCCTCCTTGGGAGACACTAGCATGCGGTGGTTGCAGGTTCTGATCCTTGGCCTTTGGTTTCTATGGATCAGGAAGGCCTAGGAGCATTTGAATCATCTTCAGAACAATGCCAAGTGTCTTATGGTCCTATTTTTCACTTCCAGTGACAGAGGTATTACCTTACATAGTCTGTGTGCATCTTAGATTATTGGAAACTTCCTTTGTACTGTTGGTCTTTGGTCTCTTTAGCACTTCAGGGTATGACTGTGTCCTAGAATAGTTCCCTTTTTTACTGTTAGGTGTGGTTAAGGGTATGGGCTCTGTTGGATTTGAAGCCTGATTTCACTATTTATTACTTGTGTGTCTTTCAGTAAATTCCTTGACCTCATTATGCCTTATTATCCAGATCCATACAGAATAGGGGTAGTAAATAAGCTAGGGAGAAGTTAGCACTGTGCTGCACACTTATTACATGTTTAATTAAGGTTTTATCATCTTCATCATTATCATCATTGTCATCACCATCGTTTCCTTTTAACACGACACTGAGAAAGGCCTGCACTGCCACTCACATGATGACCTGTGCAGGAAGAGGAGGACTAGCATTTTCCCTATTCTTACTGAACAATTCTCGTTTACCGTACTTTTCCTGGTCATCTTCCCATAACTTGTCTTTCCCATCTAGAAGCCCAAAACCCCTTTACCTTTGATTATCCTAAGATCGTATGTAAGGCCAAGTTCTAACCACTCCTTTGAGTTACTCATAACTAGGGGCTCCCACATGTATTTATGTTGAACATGTTAATAAACTTCTGTTTGTTTTTCTCTTTAAAAATTATAAGGTATTATTGGAGTATTACACTAAAACATTATCAAACAAATATGTGATAATAGCATGAATAAACCAGTGTTGGCAAAAAGAGTCAAATTCTGTAAAATATTTTGAAGGGATTTATTCTGAGCCAAATATGAGTGAGGGCCCCTGACACAGCCCTCAGGAGATCCTGAGAACATGTGCCCAAGGTGTTCAGGATACAGTTTGGTTTTATACATTTTAGGGAGACATAAGGCATCAGTCAATCATGTAAGATGTACATTGGTTTGGTCCAGAAGGGTATGACAGCTGGAAGCGGGGGCTTCTGGGTCATAGGTAGATTCAAAGATTTTCTGATTGGCATTTGGTTGAAAGAGTTTAATTATTGTCTAAAGACCTAGAATCAACAGAAAGGAATGTCTGGGTTAAGGTAAGGGGTTGTGGAGACCAATGTTCTCATTATACAGAAGTAATCCCCAGGTAGAGGCTTCGGAAAGAATAGATTGTAAGTCAGTTGTCTCCTGGATCAGGAAAAAAATGAAGGACAAGGAAGGGGATTCTCTTCAGAATGTAGATTTTCCCCACAAGAGTGAGCTTTGGAGGACTATTTCAAGACATAGCAAAGAAGACATATTTGGGGTTAAAATATTTTGATTTCCTTCTTTATCTGCCATGTGATATTATGCCAGAGTCAGGTTGGAAAGTCAGCCACATTATATAGGGTTAAATAAAACCCCTTGGATGAGATTTTTTGGTTTGTAGGGCATGACTCCCCAGACCCCTTAGATAGGAATTTGGGCAGTAGAAGAAAAAGGTCAGAGTTGAGTTCTTCACCAGTCTCTTATATGTTGGTAGGATTGGTATGCATCCACATAATTAAGGTAGCTTAATTTTTGGTATCTTATGTTTATTGATTATATTAAACTAACTTACCTTGTCTGGTCCTTCTTTCTTTGTATGTCATCAAGACCTATAGGACACTTACTTTTTTCCTACCCCTTTTGTTACTGGCTGGGCTCGTTCTGCCTGTATGCAGCAAGCTAATCACTGTGGTGACAGTTTTTGCAAAAAAGAAAAGACTTTATTCACAAGGCTGCAATGTGCAGGGCCAGGGAAATAAATCTCAGATCTACCTCTCTGAAAATAGGGCTTGGAGGTATGTATGTGATAGAAAGTGGGGTGGTCTAAAGTATAGGGAAAGATGATTGGTGAGTCGGAAAGGTGAGGTAATTAGGGCTTCTGCACAAGGGTAATTGAGCTGTATGGTTCTTCATAGGATATATGTGCAGAAAATGGTGGCACTAGCATAATGTGATAATGGAGTTTTTGGCTCTCTGATATCAAAAAGGTCCCTCTTCAGGCAGCTGTTGCAGGCCCAACCTGTGCAACCAACTTGTGAAGTTGAAGGTCTCAACTGGCTTGAACTAGACAAAAGCTGCCCCCTAGTTTCTGAAAAATAACTATAAGCACCGTTACTACCGTGACCCATAGTCAGAGACGTTACCCATAAGGTAACTAGTGGGAGTTTAGTTATGTATTTTTCGGTCATATAACTTGCCAGTGGCAGTTTTAAGATCAACTAGAAGTAAGTAATTAAAAGCTAGCCAGCTAGTTTGGAAGGCTTAATCATGTTTCACTTGCTCACTATTATGGTTTAATAAGATATTTATTTTGTCTGTGTAAATATATTTTCAGGTTTGACTTCAAAAAAACCCAAGTGAGACTCTAGCAACTTTGAAACATTTTAATAAAAATAAAGACTATTAAGAGGTTAGACCCCATCAATCCTATGTACCAGATTATATTTGAAAAGAGACTTACCAGAAATGGAGAACGTTCCACTAATGAATATTTCCTAAGGGTGAGGATGGTAAATAATTTCAATTATGTGAAAAAATTGCTGTATTTTAAGAAATTTTTGCTGTGTTTCTGGGGGTTAATGCCCAGCTTCCTCTGGAGAGCTTGGAGACGGGGGTCTGAGTCTTCACCAGCTGTAAAGTTGTCTTGAGAACAGTCCTTGAAGGATTGCTGCTATACACATTCTTGGTATTAAAAACACTAGTATTTGGCATATGAACTACATTAGCAAAAAGTGAAACAAAAGAAAAAATTCACAGAGATACCTGTCACTGGAGCAAATCACTACATGATTCATATTTGTATTCTATAATAAAAGAAGACACACAATGATGTTTACTGAGACCCTGTGATGTGTCAGCCTTTGCACTAGGTACACTACATACACTATACAGCCCCCTGTGATAAGGTGATATTATCTGTATTTTTAGAAAATGAAGAAACTGAGTCTTGGGAAAGGTAAGAAACTACCCTAGCCTAGCTGCATATTGATATGTGCAAACAGCTTCATTTTGTAAAATGTGTGTTTTATTTTTGTTTGCAAGCTGGATTTATTTGGTTGTATTTTTCATCACAAAGACTGAAATTTGTGGTACTAGTCTTTTGGGGGTCATTACTCACTTTGAGAAGTTACTACAGTAGCTGAACTTTTACACTGTTAAATGAAAACCACTATGCCTGTTGTAGGGGAGGGGGAAAAATCTTTTTTCCTCTATCTTAGATTTTTCAGCAGGGCCTCCATATGTTAGACCACCAAAGACAGATTAGCAAGAGAAAAACAAACAGAAATTTATTTCCATGTTCATCACAGATACATGTGGGGGCACCCAGTGATGACTAACCCAAAGGAGTGGTTAGAACTTGGCCTTATATACGATCCTAGGATTATCAAAGGAAAAGGGGTTTGGGGCTTCTGGATGGGAAAGACAAGTTACAGAAAGATGACTGGGAAAAGTACTGTAAACAAGAATTGTTGAGTAAGGTTTGTTGTGCAGATTGAAGTCAGTACCTTCTCCATTGATAAGAGTTAGGAGTCCTCCTCTTCCTGTTCCAGGAGAGGAAGAGAACTTCATTTACAAAAAGAAATTATGAAAATGTTCTTTATAAATGTAAATTTTCTTTACAAAAGGAAAACGGTACCCTGTGTTTAGAGCTACTCCTGCATCTGCTGGTTCTCAATGGCTTTTAGGTCAAAATGATCCCTGTGCTGAGGAGGCATATTTTGGGGTGGCTATTCTGGTACCCTCCCTGCCTTGCTTTTTTATAGTAGTTATGCAATAGAGGCAAATCCCTTCCTCCTTCCCGGGTTCATTAAGCTGAACTGAGAGGCTGATGGATACTTAAAATTTTAACATGTTTTATTAACTATTTTTATACATTCCTTGTCTTTAAATGTTCAGTAAAATCAATAAATTCTCTGTTCACCAAAATAATATTGCCATTATTCAGTGGTTGACCACAAAGCTCCTGAGGTCATGCCCAAGGACAGGGCCTACTTGAAAAAGAGCTCAGAGGAGCCTGACTAGGGTTTGGTCTGGAAGAGAATCTTTGTCATGCCAATGGCTCAGAAGATTGTAGATGATCACAGTTGAAAGAGATCTCAAAGGTGATCACTCTTAAGTGACAGAAAAAGAGCCACCTCATTTGCTTCCAGCCCCACATAGCACTCCCCTGGGGTTTGTGATAAATGCAGTTCTATCTCTTGAGAGTGTGTGAGCAGCCCTAAATGCTGGCTACCTGGAGAGCAACTCTGGCCTTTTTTCATATTGCTCTGCTTCCTAATGCTCCACTCAGCTGGCTCAGCTCTGATTATTTCTGGATTCTGAGGAGGGGAACTGCAGGAGACTGGCCTGGATTTCCCTGGGCTGTAGGGGAAAACAGCCTTGGGTTAATCCATGTGCGAGGCATGGGAAAAAGTGCAAGGAGGTGGGAAGAGGGAGAAGAAGTGTCTGCCTGGAGCTTACAAGTAGCCATGTTGTTCACTCTATTTATGGTGAGAGAAACTTTTTATAAAAACAAATATATGGTCGGGCGCAGTGGCTCATGCCTGTAATGGCAGCGCTTTGGCACGCCCAGATGGGTGGATCACAAGGTCAGGAGATCGAGACCATCCTGGCTAACACGGTGAAACCCCGTCTCTACTTAAAATACAAAAAATTAGCAGGGCGTGTTGGCCGGCGCCTGTAGTCCCAGCTACTCAGGAGGCTGAGGCAGGAGAATGGCGTGAACCCGGGAGGCGGAGCTTGCAGTGAGCCGAGATCGCCCCACTGCAGTCCAGCCTGGGCGACAGAGCGAAACCCTGTCTCAACAGAAAAACAAAACAAAAACAAAAACAAATGTGTTTGCTAGCAAATTTTAATTCAATATATACATTTTAATCAAGTATATAAATATATGGAGGATATAGGGAATAATAAATAGTAAATAATATGTAGTAAAAATAGTAAATATAACAAACCTTTTCCAGTGGTGATTAATCCTTAACTCATTTTAACTCACCTTTTGAAAAAAATAATTTCAACTTTTATTTTGGATTTAGCATGTACATGTGTAAGTTTGTTACATGGGTATATTGCATGATGCTGAGGTTTGGGATACGGATGATCCCATCACCCAGGTAACGAGCAATGGAGTTTTTTAGCCCATGCCCCCAGTCCCCTTCTAGTTGTCCCCAATGTTTGTGTTTCCTATCTTTATGCCTAGGGATACTCAATGCTTAACTCACTTAGAAGTGAGAAGAACATGTGTTATTTGTTTTTCTGTTCCTGCATTAATTCGTTTTGCATAATGGCCTGCAGTTGCATCCATATTGCTGCAAAGGACAAGATTTTCTTCTTTTTTACAGCTATTAATACATAGTATTCCATGGTATATATGAACCATATTTTTTAAATTCAGTCTACCACTGGTGGGCACCTAGTTAATTCACGTTTAAAATGGTGTCCATTCCCCTAAGCTTTGTAGTATATAGCGGATTATGATTCAACAATTTTAGAAAACACCTGATTTAGTGAGTTGGTCTCCAAACGATAAATGTCTGTAAAAGAGAATTTCATCTATCTTATTATTTTTAATGATCATGTTTGAAATGAAGCATATCAAGTTAGACTTATTAGTTAGATGCCATTTAATTTGAGATTATTTTAACTTTAGGATTTTTGCTCTCCATTCAGTTGTTGGGAGTGTTTTAAAAACACTGGACTTTCAGAAAGATTAAGGTGTTACAACTCCCTATAGTAATCAATATTCTTTGCAGTTTTAAAGCTCAAGTGTCCATGCCTGTTGGAGTTTGTGTTAGGCTACAAAAGATGAGTTTATAACCTAGATTCTGAAAGGACACTGTAGCAACATTAGGTTGCTAAGCAAGTCCCTTGGCTACTTAAACAACGTGCCTTGAATTATTCTGACTGCCCGTGCTGCTCAGTCATAATGGAGCAATTAAAAAATGACACTCACTTTTAGGTTTGTCCAGACTTAAGTTAGAAATAAATGGAAGTAGAGACATACTATTTTTAATAATTAAAAAAAGAAAATAAGAAATAAAAATATAGTTGTGTGAAAAATGTTCAAAGCAACTCAACAACCTAATGTTCAATAAAATGGAATACTTAACCAACTATGATATACTATATGAAGTATGCAGTCATACCAATTGAGGGTTTGTACACAATATAACAAATATTATATTTCACTCAGATTGTAAATCATAGCTCTCTCTTTTATACAAATCATCAGAAATAGGCACAGCTTAACATATTCCTTTCATAAGCACTTTCCTCCTGTTATTGCTTTCCAAAATAAAATTGAGACAGAAGGAAGCCTATTTAGCTTATCCAGATTATAATTAATTTAGCCACTTGGGTGTATTAGAAAATGGGAGCTAGACCCTCTACTGAGGGTTGTAAAGTGTAGTCATGGACCAGGACCCAGACTATTCAAATAATTTATTTTTCTAGTCAGAGTTACTCCAGTGATTAAAAACAAAGACACGGGATGGGGGCAGGGACTAAATGAATAAATGTGCTTGAATAGCCAAGGAGCAATTTCAAGCCTGACAACTGCATCCTGTTATATATTTCAATCATGCAATATTGAAGCCCCTATAAGAATCCATTTTTCATTTCCTACTGATTTTTATTCTCTCTCTATGTTATTTTTTCCACCTACTTTTCAGAAATCTGCTCTTGAATGGAAAATTATATTTCTGTAGACACTTAGCCATGAGGTACTTGATTTTAATTTAATTCCACTAATCATATTTGGAAGGAAAATAAAATCTCTATAAATGACAAGTCAACTAGTATTTGTGGTTTAGATCATTGTGTCTTTATTTTATCCAATCTTAATTTCTTTCCTTTGGCCATTCCATCTCTTGTTTTAATTTTTACTTCAACACTTAATTACTATTGTTGATTCTCAAACATATTTTACTTCCTAGTCCTTGAAGCTTCAATAATGTGAAAACACTTAAAAATATCCAGAACAATTACTTGTTTGTTAAAGGAGCATTGTGTCAGAACGTTTTATGTGGACAGTAAAGCTCTCCAAGCTGTCTCCCTGGAATTCAGAAACTTTAGCATCAGGAAGACCCAGAGTGTGCTTTTCTGCATTTAGCTCAATGCACCCTTTTCTCTTGTCTTTTTATTCAGCTGGAATGCTTGCTGATTCCTCTGCACACTTCTAAGGCTGAGAACCTGAGGAACCCAGCTGGAAAATGCCGTCTGAACGCTGCCTCAGGTATGCCCTGTAGGATATGTCCTCACATGCCGTAGTGAGCCCTGAAATAAGTGCATTGCACGTTCTAGGATCAAGCACAAAGCAGGGGCTTAATGCATATTTGAAGGAATCATCAAACTAGTCAGAGCTTTTGTGAATTTACTGTGGTGGCACAAGGACTAACTGCTGTGACCTACTTATTTGTCAAACCTAAATATGTTTCCTGATTCTTTGAATGATACTATTTTTTAATCTTTTTTTCTTATTTAGGATGCTAACTTCCCTCAAACATGAGGTATGCTAGTATAAAGGTATATCACATAAAAAAGGAATCAAAAAACTATACATATATATGTGTGTGTGTATATATATATATAGATGTGTATATATAGAGAGATGTGTATATATATATAGAGAGAGAGATAGGGATAGAGAATGAGAGAGAGAGAGAGAGAGAGGGAGAGCCCTCTCTAAGGCAATCACTTTGGGGAGTACAATGCTTATTCTCAAAATGCTCACAACATTTCCTTTTAATAATTCATTTATTTAATAGATATTAATTAAGCCAAACACTCTGCTTGGTGCTGAGGACCCAGCTATGAATAAAACAGATAAGGTTCCTTCCCTCTTAAAATGTATATTCTATGGCGAAAACAGACATTAAACAAATAAGCACACCAGTAACGACACAAAAATAATTGTGAAAGTGCTCTGAAGGAAAAGTACAGGATAGATAGAGCAAGAAAATGCCTTCCTGAGAAAGGCTGTATACCTGAGATTTGAAGGGGGGCATGCCCTGAGGCAGGAAGGAGCTTGGCACATTCCAGAAACTGAGGGGCAGCCAATGAGAAAATGCATGGCATTCATTTGAATAGTCTCACTGGAGGTAAATCTGCATCATCCTCTGAGGGAACAGTCAAAATATCTTCAGAGCAAAGAATAAGAGAGATGACAAACCTGGGGAATACATTTTTCTTAAGAATTGGGTGTCTGTTAAGTAATGAGACCAGCTTCTTTCCATGACTCTGAAGCTATTAGAGGTGATTTGTTCCAGAAATGTGTTGAGAACTGGTGACATTGCTGTAGCAGGTGTAACGCCTCTGCACTCCCTATGTGAGTCTGTTGCTCTCAATCAGTGATTCTCAATGGTGGATGGTTTTGCCACCAGTGTACGTTGTGCAATATCTGACAATGTTTTTGGATGTCACGGGGATTGTGGATACATTTGGCATCTACTGGGTAGAGGCCAGGAATCATTTTAAACATCTTGCAATGCATAGGGCAGCCCCCTACAGCAAAAAACAAAAAACAAAAAACAAAAACAAAAACAAAAAAAAAAACATCTAGCCCAAAATGTCAATAATACTGAGGCTGAGAAACCCTGCTCTAGACCTGGCATCCAACCAATACAGCACATGGAGACCATGGTGTCTGTCTGTCACCACCTCAGCCAAGTTATTTATTTCTGGCTACCAGGATCAGTGTGCATACTTAAAATAATTTTTTACTTTTAAGTCTGCCATCCCGTTCTTATTAATCAACTGTCTTCCACAGTGCAGTAATCTCTATGATGTTCTCTCCTTCTCTGCTTCAACCCAGAGCCCTCCCTTCCCCACCTCTCAGACTCTCCCACTGTGCCATGTGGAAGTGTCACAACACAACCACATGCTCTGCTGTATCATCTCCTTGTCCTGAAAAGCTCTGTTTGCCTCCGACTTCATTGAGACCCATCCTCCTCTGAGGACCATTTCCCTTGTAGCCCTCTCAAAGTAGTGGCATTATTATTTCCTCACATCCCATGTATTTCAAGGATGGGTAGAGAGAGTGTCATCCTCCTAGGGCATGGTTTTGCTTCTAGACCATTACTCCACAAATTGATTGTTTGAGAAAGCCACAGCCACAAAAACAACAAAGACATGCTCTTCTGAAGATGATGCCCTTTATCTCTCTCCTCTTCCTAACTGTAGTCGGGGTCATTGTCCTTTATTCACTGAGCATTTCGGCACTTGGCTTGCAGTCTTCCTCCTCATCACAAACCCCTTACTACACCCCCAGGGCCCTCATGTCAGCCTGGAGGATATGTCTGCTTCATGGTCCTTGGACCCTCAATCTGCTTATCTCCAAAGACCATCTCCCTGCACTCAGCCACTCAGTTTCATGGCCACACCTCAGACCTTGTTATCCTTAGTAATTGCTCTGTTTCTGAAATCACGCTATCAGCCATTTTACTCTTACCACAGCCTCCTCTCCTTTTTCAAAATATGGTTGTACTTTGACCTCATTGTAATGTCTCATTTTCTGGCCCTGCTACTTTCTACCAACCCATCCAGTCTTTCCTTTCCTCATTTTCCTTCTTAAGCAGTTTAGATTCTATCACTGTTGCTAAACCCTTAAGTTCTCTCATTTCCTGTATTTTTGATGCATTTGCTTGAGAAAACCCCAATCCAGATGAACCGATCTATTCATATTTCCATGCCTACGTTGTCTAGTGGAGACTAGTTCCACAAAAATCTTCAGATTCAACAAGCCAAAAAGTGCCCAGAGTTTTAGTATGTGATTCTGGTCCACTGATTCCCTGCCACTCAAGAGGCAATCCTTTCCCACAACTAGGCCAAAACCTGCCTCTGTGCTTCAAACTTATCTTTCATATCTTCTCAGCAACCTTTGAGTGTTGCTTGTTTCTCAGCCATGTTCTTGAGATACAGCTGTGTTGTCACCTTCTCTATGCAGATGAGTCTCAGATTTACATTTCTAGCAAAGACTCCTTTCTGAGTTCCAGATCCAGGAATCAAACTACATATTTGACATTTGTGCTTGGATGTCTTAAAGACAACTCAAACTTAACATGTCCCAAACCAAATTCATCATCATTCTCTTCTACAATTCTGATTCTCTTTCATTTGTTTCCTGTTCTGGAAATATCAAGTTGTATAAGCCAGAAATATAGGTGTCTTCTGGAAATCTTCCTCCCACTCACCTCCATATGTAATCTAACACCAAGACCTGTAGATTTTCCCACTAAATAGCTTTTAATCCCATTCACCTTTCTGAAACTTCATCTGAGTGCTCCTTGGGCTCCAAGGCCCAACTCCATCATTCAGCTGAACCACAGCCACAGTCCAGGTCTGCTCTAGTCTGGCCCAGTCTCCCCTACTGCTCTTGGTACTACAGCTTGAATGACCTTTTCTGTGACTTCCCATTGCCCTTAGGATAACCTGGCCCAGAATTCCTGCACAAGTGGGCTCAGGCCTCTGCTGCTCGGGCCTTACCTGCACCGTGTTCTCCTTTGTCCCTAGCTGTTAACTTTCTGTAGACACTCTATAAGGGCCATGCTCCCTCCTGCCACAGGATCGTAGCATTTGCTGTTCTCCTGCCTGGAAAACCTTCTCTTTCACTTTTAAAAGATTAACTTGTTCTCATCCTTCAGCCAGCAGCTCAAGTATTATTTCTTTAGGGAGGCCAGATTATTTGATTAATGTGTAACTGCCCTACTACACTGAATGTTCCATGAGGGCTGCTACCACATATGGTTTGCTCACCATTTTATCCCCAGTACCCAGCACAACACCTGGCACAGGCTTAATAAATATTTGTGGGGTAAATGAATGAGGGAAGGAAGGAAACAAAACTATTCATTCATAATTAAGTTCCTTTCTACAGAGTTTTCATTATTTAATAATTGTCTAAGCATACTGTATCTTCTTTGCTTATTACTATGACCATTGCTATTAGTTGATCAAGTTCATTTTAAAGTGTTTATAAATTATAAAGTGTTCTATAGAAATGAAATTATTTTATTATAGGGTCTTTTAATATCCTGCTACCTTAAATATAATTTTTAAAATATTAATGTCTTTAATTTTCATGAAAAGATTTTGACTACATAATTTAAGTGATTTAAGATGCTCACTTGATAGTTCACCAATAGACTGAATTGAGATAATTATGCATAATTATTACTGTTAGATTTTTTTTTGTCCAGCCTTTTTCTTTCTTGTGTAAAGTAGCCTAGTTAAGAAATGAGAATCTTTATCCCACTTAGTTGTTTTTAATATGTAAGTATGTAACACCTTATTGGTAGTCTTACTTAAAAACTACTGCATATTTTTTATATATCCAGGTTGTAGGTAAACACTGACATAGAAATTGACTTGAATTTTAAAATTTGAAATGCAGATGTTTAAAACCATATAGCTGTTTTCGGAATTTACAACTTTAAAACTGACAGAACTTAGTCAAAATTCTTTCCATGAACATCAAACCCTATAGGATTTCTGTGACCAAAAATGTGAACTCTGTGACCTCAGAGCAGCAATTTGCACTAAAGCAGTGATTCAGTCTGAGTAGGGAATATGATATAATGAACATCGTTCTCTGCATTTGATTTATTAGTTTTTGTGATCAATTCCAGAATGAAAGTTAAAGGCTTAAAGTTATGAATAATCCTCTTTCCTGAGACCTCGTTTATTTATTTCCCCATTACTAGATACTGACATATGGCTGATCAAATGGTTGCTCCCTGGCATTACTAAAAGGTCATCTTACTGTTCAGGGAGTCTGGGGCTTTCCATTGTTGCATGAGGGCCTATGTGGGGTCCTGTGAAATACAGGGACAGCAGTTCGCACAGGCAGCCTGACGGGGGTTGCCTAAAGCCGTTACAGTGTTCAGGTGGAAAAAAACAGAGGGACATATATCCCTGGGAACTCATAGAGTATCCAATAGAACCATAATGAGAAGCATATCTATAATTTAAAATTTCAGGTAGCTATATTAAAAAGGGTAAAAAAAAATTTTTTTTCTGTTGTTGAGACAGAGTTTCACTCTTGTTGCCCAGGCTGGAGTGCAGTGGCGTGATCTCGGCTCACTGCAACCTCTGCTTCCCGGGTTCAAGTAATTCTCCTGCCTTAGCCTCCTGAGTAGCTGGGATACAGGCATGCGCCACCACACCTGGCTAATTTTTGTATTTTTAGTAGAGACGGGGTTTCACCATGTTGGCCAGGCTGGTCTTGAACTCCTGACCTCAGATGATCCGCCCACTTTGGCCTCCCAAAGTGCTGGTATTACAGGTGTGAGTCATGATGCCCAGCCCTAAAAAAGGTAAAATTAATTTTAACAATATATTTTATTTAACCCAACATACCCTAAATATTATAATTTAAACATGTAATCAGTACAGAAATATTGAGCTATTTTGCTTTCTTTTATTCATATTGTCTTTGACATTCATTGTGCATTTTATATGTATGGTACATCTCAATTTGGACTGGCCATATTTCAAGTGCTCAGTGACCATGTGTGGTTAGTGTCTACTGTATAGGTGTATCCCTACAATAGAGTATTACTATTGTATTGATACAACACAATACAATAGAGTGTTACTATGGTATTAATATAGCATATACTCTTTTGTATTGATGCAGTTCTAGGGCATCCCTCAGAGAAAGAGGTTGCATTGGGGAAGCCAGGACACTGTCTGCACTCACTGATGAATTTTGAGGTGGCAACATGGCTTCTGTGGGAGACCTTTTCCAGTTTTAGGATGACACTCAAATCTGTGTTTCCTTGAGAAATATGGTTCTTGCTTTCAGTCTTTTTTCCAGAAATTTAGAAGTTTTAGGATATACTTTTCCTTCCTTTATTTCTCAAAAAATTGAGGGACATTGCTCTAAGTTGAGAGGCTTAGTTTGCTAATTTGATATATGTTCTAGATGCTGAGGGAGCTGTTTGCAAGCATGTGTCTGCTCCCCATTTTAATTTAGACATAGTGCATTACAGTCTTCGATTTATCTCCTCCCTGGTTTATGACTATTGACTTGGTGAAGTGGGCGTGCTCCCTTCCAGCTATGTTCTGTGGCCACGTGTGCCTTAACATTTAGAGGGTTGAGATGTTTTACAAATTTACATCCAAGAGTTGAGTGGGAAGTTACTTTCAGAATACAATAATGATTTGTTGATTAAGAGGCCTTTATTTCTTGCCAAATGTTGGAGTATTTGTTTCTGCTTTTAAGGATCCCTAACATATTGGTTCCAAAATATTTGGGATCTTGTGCCAACTGTTGTCTTAAATATTTAGCTTGTTGTTTTCTTGAAGCTTGAATTTTCAAGCCCAGCTGAATGATCCTGTGAAATTGTGCAGCATCACTATTGTTTAAAAGCTGAGGCTTTTATTCTTTGCCAAATTTCAGTTTACAGCTGCTCTGTTTCTGGTAAGATTTATTCACTCTCAAGAGACATATAAAATGCAAATACCGATTCAGTCTTAATAATAAGGACAGGAATTGTGGCACTATATTTGGAAAACTTTTTAAGGCAATTATCTTAATATATTCTTCGGTTCCACTACAAATGAAATTTTGAAATACATTTATTTAACATTTAAGGTGATATAAAAGTGGAGAAAGTAAGTTGTGAAAGTTTCAAATATATTTTCTAAGGTTATAATGATTAGAATCTATTTTCCATCCCAAAACTTTCAGTCACAGTATGAAGATAAATGTTTTTGAAGAAAAATTTCAAACATTTCTTACTGCTGTGTCATGTTGTTCTGTTCATGTATATTATTCTAAAAGGCTGATTTTGAGATTCATTATACATAATATAAAGTTAATAGGGACTTACATGGTTTTTTCCCCTTAAGCATAGATTTTTGAGATCTTTACAGATTGCCTTTTTTTTTTTAGACAGAGTCTCGCTCTGTTGCCCAGGCTGGAGTGCAGTGGCATGATCTCAGCTTACTGCAACCTCCACCTACTGGGTTCAAGCAATTCTCCTGCCTCAGCCTCCTGAGTCGCTGGGATTAAGGTGCGCGCCACCATGCCTGGCTAATTTTTGTATTTTTAGTACAGATGGGGTTTCACCATATTGGCCAGGCTGGTCTTGAACTCCTGACCTCAAGTGATCCACCTGCCTCAGCCTGCCAAAGTACTGGGATTACAGGCATGAGCCACCGTACCTGACTTCTTCTCTTTTTTTTTCCTTTAAGCAGGAGGAGGAATTACATTGTTATATTCTTGGTGATAGGTTCTCAAAATACCGGATCTTGGACCTTCAGTTTTTCTATCTGTAAAATAGAGATAATAATAGTACCTGCCTCATGGTGTTGTTGTGCAGATTACATGAACTAGTCATTGTAAATCACTGAGAATAGTTCATGGGACACGGTAAGCACTATGTGTTTCTCAAATATATTAAAAAGTCATCCTTTTAGGAAAGATTTTTCAAAGACTATCCTAAAGCTTTACTTGGCTGATACAATGTTTCTATTACTATTCCATTTCTTGATTTGAGATGCTAATTAATTGAGTGATGCTAATTAATCTCCATTCTAGACTTTGCATAGAAACTTGCAAAAAATTATTTATGCTTCTGAATGTGGTTTTTAATTACTGATTTTAAAGTCTGCCTATAGCTTGAGCTACTAGATGAATATTCAGTGACAGTAACCATTTCAAAACTCACTGCTACATTTCAACTGAAAATAATCCTCCCACCTTCCCACAGGAACTTCCTATATCATCACCGTCTGTCAAGTTTTTTCTTTCCATATTTCTGACATTCTGATGCTTCCCAGTCAAAACTGTCCAATAAAGCTTAATGACTGCCTTCTGGCATTTCACAGGAAGTATTTGGTTAATTTTAAGATGGTGATTTGTACCTAACTGTAATTTACCAGCCAACTGGCACCACAGGCTGAGCAGAGCCCTGCCAAATAAACCCACCATGCAAACTAGGCTGGTGGCAACTCTGGCTCCCCTGAGAAACTCTTTCACATTCAGAGGGAGGGGTTGGATACAGGAATTACCAACATGGGAGAGACACAGCTTAATCATCCCAACGGTATTTTTACTCAGCTTTGAGATGGATCTGCTGGCCAGAATCAGGGCTTGATGGCTCTTGCTTTCACTCTGGGAGTAACCTATTCCTGGCAGATCACCTGTCTTAGTCCAATACCAGTTCTGAGATTTTAGAGCACTGTATAGATTCCCGTTGATATAAGCTGGAAATGTCCATAGCTGTCTGTAAAGTGAAAGTTTGCATTTTGTGTTTATGGCATTACTTCTGTATTATTGTAGAATGATCTAGAGCTTCACCTAGGACTTTTGAAAGGACATAAGGATAAATGTTTTAGGTTGGGGTAGAGAGTGAAGGGGTAAGTTTCACAATGTGTGAGGTTAGCAATCTCACAAAGTAGAACAAAAAGAAAATTATATAGTCATTCATAAATCCAGTATAATGATCACACATAGAAACTAAATGCTGATAATAGATAAATTTTACTTTCAGCTTTAAATTTGTTTTCATTTACAATGCATTCCTTTTGATGTTCTTATGGTGCACAATTTCCGAAGTTTAATAATAAGCTTCTCTGGTTTAATTGCCTTTTACATGGAATGGTCATTTGCAGCCCTTTTTGTCCTAACATTTGCTCAGTTTTCTTGTATGTGTTAACAGAGTCTTGTGTCCTGTGGGAGACATGGTAAGGTACAAAGGTGGGGAAGGAATCAGGGAATTAGAGAGAGGGGACAGAGTGGGAAGGGTCACACACACATATACACATGCCCAGATGCACATCCAGAGGAAGTTTTGCACTCAGAGATGTTCACACACTGAAGGGACGGGACCCAGAAACAGAGGCTTGCAGGTCCAGACACCTGGGTCAGTATGCAGCCACAGATGAACACACACAAACACAAATGCAGAAAGAGATGCACCAGTAAAAGAGAGAAAGACCCTGCAGGGAGGGAAGCAGAGAGAATAAGAAAAAGGGAGAACAAGAGAATGGTGGAGAGAAAGAAAATGAGGGAACAGATGGTCACACTCATAGAGTGCACTGGAACCCGTGTTGCCTCAGTCGATGTTCAAGGAATGAGAGAGCAGCTGGCCCACAGGGCTGGGAAAAGGAAAAATGTTGACTTGATTGCTCTCCTTTGTAGTATTCAAGAAATGCTGACAGGCCAGAGGCTCTGCCACTCCGAATCTCACAATGACAGTGTCCTGGCAGCGCTGAATCAGCAGAGGAGTGATGGCATCCTCTGCGACATCACCCTGATTGCTGAGGAACAGAAATTCCATGCTCACAAGGCAGTCCTAGCAGCATGCAGTGACTATTTCCGGGTAAGTCAGCATTGTTTGTTTCTCGTAAAATATTGATAAAGAGAGGATGACAATGTTTCCCAAACTGTCACTAAACCAGGAGCCAATTAGGTGGTACCCCCAGAGCTGAATGGTGGGGGCCTTTGTTCTTTCCTGGGTAGAATGCTTCCTGGGGCCCCATTGGGTCCTCTCTGGGCAGGGCACCTGGATGTCCCTCCAATGTAGAACAGACCTCCCTTGGCATCTGAGCCAAGGAGTGCTTGGCACTTTACCACCATGGGAAAATGTGGCACTGTAGTGCTTCATGTGGGGGTGCAGACTGGAGTGAGAGGATGCTTCTGGATTCAGGATCAAAGACCAAGCTATAAGACAATTTGTTAAAATTTAAAAGTCTTTAAGTATATGTATTGTTTCGGATATATATATATATTTTTGTTTTGTTTTGTTTTGTTTGTTTTTGAGACAAAGTCTCGCTCTTTCACCCAGGCTGGAGTGCCAATGGCGCAATCTTGGCTCACTGCAACCTCTGCTTCCTGGGTTCAAGTGATTCTCCTGCCTTAGCCTCCTGAGTAGCTGGGATTACAGGGACATGCCACCACACCTGGCTAATTTTTGTAGTTTTAGTAGAGACGGGGTCTCACCAAGTTGGCCAGGTTGGTCTCGAACTCCTGACCTCAAGTAATCTGCCCGCCTCGGCCTCCCAAAGTGCTGGGATTACAGACACACACCACCGCGGCCAGCCTATATATACTCTTAATGCTTTCTAATTATTTGCTCCAAGGACAGAGATTCATAGGCCTAATGGACCTTCATGGTCAGTACATGCATGCGGCTAATGAAGACACATCTTGTTTACCAGAGCTTTGGGGTTGATTTCCAACAGCAAATTACATGTGGTAATAAGATTGCTGTTTTTCTTGAAGATGAAAGTACATAATATAGTGATAGCTGATTAAATGCCACTTATTAGCACTTCTTGTGATTCACATGGTGAGCAAAGGATTTTATATGCATATCTCATTTGATCCTCACAACAACCCATTGTGCACATATATATACATATTATTAAAATGACCATTTTGCATATATGGAAACAATAACAAAGACTAAGTAATTTGCACTAACTCAGGATCAGTAAGAAGTCACACAGTTCCTAAATGGCAGATCTGGAATCGAAATCTATGTTTGACTCTTAACGAGTGTGATAGTCTGCTTCATATATGGACATAAAATAGCAAACCTGGACAATTATTAGCCAGAATGTTTTGAAACATTAATTTCTAAATATACATTATTTCAATGCCTATTTAATTTTCTTTTCAATGTTTTTTCAGTTAACAAGTGACTAATACTTTTGGAACATAATGGTATGAATCTCCATATAAATGGGAATATAAACAATTTAATTGTGTTGTGTTGTTTTTTTAATTTCCCCCAGTAAAGCCTAAATGTTACAGACACCAACTTAGGCCCATGAGCAATTTGTTGATTGGTTTGAATATTTCTAATAATACTGTTGGTTTTGTTATTTAAGAGACAATATCAACTGCACTTAATTGCCAAGTAGCAGTCACAGAGATTTTTCAAAGATGCCAAAGCATAGAAGACAGCCTTTTTTAAAAAGCGTATTAAATGTGATGAAACTGAGTAATGTAGAAGATAAAGAGGTAATTACTTGAAATGTCTGTTTCTGAAATAAAAAGTAGGGATTTAATTCTAAACTACAAAGATGATACAGAGTATCTGTAAAGTGGCCTTTTAGTTCCATTAATATAATTATACATTTCACACACCCTCACTCACATTGTCAGGTATTCTTCTTTCAGAAAGGTCATATTATTCAGAGGGGCTTTTGGATCAGCAAAACACTTCAGATTGTATGCAGATTATGGAATAGGAATTTTGTCTTTTAATGGACCGTAATATAGCCTTCTTGGTGTTAACTTCTCTCTACTTAGGTTTCAGCATTTCAGTATTGGATTTTTTTTTGAACTTTTATTTTAGGTTCAAGGGTACATCTGCAGGTTTGTTATGTCAGTAAATTATGTTTCATGAGGGTTTGGTGTACAGATTATTTCATCACCCAGGTAATAAGCATAATACTCAATAGCTAGTTTTTCAATTTTCTCCCTTCCCCCAACCTCCACCATTAAGTAGGCCCCAGTGTCTGTTGTTCCCTTCTTTGCATCCAAGTATTCTCCGTGTTTAGCTCTCACTTATAAGTGAGAATATGTGGTGTTTGGTTTTCTGTTCCCATGTTAGTTAGCTTAGAATAATGGCCTCCAGCTCCATCCATGTTGCTGCAAAGGACATGATCTCATTCTTTTTTATGACTGTGTAGTATTCCACAATATATACATACCACATTTTCTTTATCCTGTCTACCACTGATGGTCATTTAAGTTGATTCCATGTCTTTGCTATTGTGAATAGCGCTACAGTGAACATACACATGCAGGTGTCTTTATGGTAGAATGATTTGTAATACTTTAGGTCTATACCCAGTAATGGGATTGCTGGGTTAAATGGTAATACTGTTTTAAGTTCTTTGAGAAATTGCCAAACGGCTTTCCACAATGACTGAACTAATTTGCATTGCCACCAGCAGTGTATCAGCATTCTCTTTTCTCTGCAACCTCTCCATCATCTGCTATTTTTTTACTTTTTAATCATAGTCATTCTGACTGGTGTGAGATAGTATCTCATTGTGGTTTTGAGTTGCATTTCTCTAATGATTAGTAATGTTGAGCACTTTTTTTATATGCTTGTTGGCTGCATGTATGTCTTTTTTTGAAATGTGTCTGTTCATGTCTTTTGCCCCCTTTTTTTATGGTGTTGTTTATTTTTTGCTTGCTAATTTGTTTAACTTCTTTATAGATTCTGGATAGTAGATCTTTGTCAGATGCATAGTTTGCAAAATATTTTCCCCATTTTGTGGGGTGTGTTTGTTGATAGTTTCTGTTGCTGTCCATAAGCTCTTTAGTTTAATTAGGTCCCATTTGTCAATTTTTGGTTTTGTTGGAATTGCTTTTGGTGTCTTTGTCATGACATATTTGTCAGGACCTATGTCCAGAATGGTATTTCCTAGATTATCTTCCAGGGTTTTTATCATTTTAGGTTTTACATTTAAGTCTTTAATCCCTCTTGAGTTGATTTTTGTACCTGGTGAAAGAAAAGGGTCTAGTTTCAATGTTTGACATATGGCTAGCCAGTTATTTCAGCATCACTTATTGAATTTGGTCTTTTCCCATTGCTTGTTTTCATTGACTTTGTCAAAGATCAGATGGTTGTAGGTGTGCAGCTTTATTTCTGGGCTCTCTATTCTGTTCCATTTGTCTATGTGCCTGTTTTTATACTGGTATCATGCTGTTTTGGTTATTGTAGCCTTGTAGTATAGTTTGAACTTGGGTAATGTGACTTCAAACTATACTACAAACAATACTACAGCTTTGTTCTTTTTGCTTAGGATTGCTTTGGCTATTTGGGCTCTTTTATGGTTCCATATGAATTTTAGAATAGGTTTTTTCTAATTCTGTGAAAAACATCATTGGTAGTTTGATAGGAATAACATTGAATGTGTACATTGCTTTAGGCAGTATGGCCATTTTCACGACATTGATTCTTCCTATCCATGAGCATGAAATATTTTTCCACTTGTTGGTATCATCGCTAATTTCAATGAGAAGTGTTTTGTAATTCTCTTTGTAGAGCTCTTTTACCTCTCCGGTTGGCTGTCTTCCTAGGTATTTTATTCTTTTTGTGACTATTGTGAATGAAATTGCAATCTTGATTTGGCTCTCAGCTTGGATGTTGTTGGTGTATAGAAATGCTACTGATATTCGTACAATTGATTTTGTATCCTGAAACTTTGCTGAAGTTGTTTATCAGATTTAGGAGATATGGGGCAGAGACTATGTGGAGAGTTCTAAGTATGGAATCACATCATCTGCAAACAGGGATAGTTTGATTCCTCTCCTCCTATTTGGATGCCTTTTATTTCTCTCTGTTTCCTGATCACTCTGGCTAGGACTTCCAGTACTATGTTGAATAGGAGTGCTGAGGGTAGCCATTCTTGTCATGTTCTAGTTCTCAAAGGGAATGCTCCAGCTTTTACCTATTCAGTATGATGTTGGTGTGGGTTTGTCATAGATGGCTCTTGTTAGTTTGAGGCATAGTCATATAATGCCTAGTTTTTTGAGGGCTTTTAACATGAAGGGAAGTTGATTTTTATCAAAAGCCTTTTCTAAATCTATTGAGATGATCATGTGGTTTTTGTTTTTGGTTTTCTTTATGTGATGAATCACATTTATTTATTTGCATATAGTGAACCAACCTTATATTTCAAGTATAAAGCCTACTTGATTGTGGTGGATTAGCTTTTTGATGTGCTTCTGGATTTGATTTGCTAGTATTTTGTTGTGGATTTTTACATTTATGTTCATCAAGGATACTGGCCTGAATTTTCTTTTTTTGTTGTGTCTCTGCCAGGTTTTGGTATCAGGATGATACTTGTCCCATAGAAAGACATAGAGAAGAGTTTTTCTTCCTTAGTTTGTAAAAGTAGTTTTAGTAGGAATTGTACCAGCTCTTTTTTATATATCTGGTAGAAGTCAGCTGTGAATCCATTTGGTCCTGGGCATGTTCAGGTTAATAGGTATATTAGTCCGTTCTCATGCTGCTAATAAAGACATACCTGAGACTGGGTAATTTATAAAGGAAAGAGATTTAATTGACTCACAGTTCTACAGGGCTGGGGAGACCTCAATAAACTTACAATCATGGCAGAAGGGGAAGCAAACATGTCATTCTTCACATGGTGGCAGCAAGAAGTGCAGAGCAAAGTGGTGGGGCGGGGGGGCAGGCGGGGGAAAAGCCCCTCATAAAACCCTTAGATCTCATGAGAACTCACTCACTATCACAGGAACAGCATGGAGGTAACTGCCCCCATAATTCAATTACCTCCCACCAGGTCCCTCCCAGGACACATGGTGATTATGAAAGCTACAGTTCAAAATGAGATTTGGGTGGGGATAAAGCCAAACCATATCAGTAGGCTTCTTCTTACTGATTCAATTTTGGAACTTCTTATTGGTCTGTACAGGGATTCAAATTTTTTCCTGGTTCAATTTGGGAGGTTGTATGTTTCCATGAATTTATCCATTTCTACTAAATTATATCTTGTGCACATAGAGGTTTGTAGTCTTTGAGGTTTTTTTTGTATTTCTGTGAAGTTGGAAGTAATATTCCCTTTTTCATTTCTGATTGCATTTATTTGGATTTTCTGTCTTTCTTTTATTAGTCTAGTTTGCTGTCTATTTATCTTATTTATTCTTTTGAAGAACAAACTCCTAGTTCCATTGATCTTTTATATGATTTTTAGAATCTCAATTTCCTTCAGTTCAGCATTGATTTTGGTTATTTCTGGTCTTTTGTTAGCTTTGTGATTGGTTTGCTCTTGTTTCTCTAGTTTTTCTAGGTGTGATGTTAGATTGTTAACGTGACATCTTTCTAACTTTTTGATATGGGCATTTAGTACTGTAAACTCCTCTCTTAACACTGCTTTAGCTTTGTCTCAGAGATGCTCATGTGTTGTATCTTTGTTCTCATTATTTTTAAATAATTTTTTGACTTCTACCTTAATTTCATTGTTTACCCGAAAATCATTCAGGAGCAAGTTGTTTATTTCCATGTGTTTGTGTAGTTTTGAGTGATTTTCCTAGTATTGATTTCTATTTTTATTACACTTTGGTCTGAGAGTGTGATCGGTATAATGTCAGTTTTTTTTAATTTGCTGAGGATTGTTTTATGGCTAATTGAGTCATCAATTTCAGAGTATGTGCCATGTGCATATGATAAAAATATATATTCTGTTGTTTTTGGATGAGGAGTTCTGTAGATATCTGTTAGGCCCATTCAGTCAAGTGTTGAGTTCAGGTCCTGAATATCTTGGTTAGTTCTCTGCCTCAATGATCTATCTAATAGTATCAGTGAGGTGTTGAAGTCTCCCAGTATTATTATGTGGTTATTTAAGTCTCTTTATAGGTCCCCAAGAATTCTGTTTATTAATCTGAGTGCTCCTGTGTTGCGTGAATATATGTTTAGTATAGTTATGTCTTTTTGTTGAATTGACCCTTTACCATTAGGTAATGCCCTTCTTTGTCTTCTTTTATTGGTGTTGCCTTAAAGTCTGTTTTGTCTGAAATTAGAAGAGCAACCCTGCTTTTTTCCATTTTCTGTTTGCTTGGTAGATTTTTCTTTATCCCTTTACATTGAGCCTTTGGGGGTCATTGCATGTGAGATGGGTCTCTTGAAGACAGCACATCATTGGGTCTTTCCTTTATCAAACTTGCCACTCTCTGCCTTTTAATTGGGGCATTTAGTTCATTTGCATTGGAGGTTAATATTGACATGTGTGGTTCTCCTTGAAGAGGTCCTTCACATCCCTTGTAAGTTGGATTCCTAGGTATTTTATTCTCTTTGAAGCAATTGTGAATGGGAGTTCACTCATGATTTGGTTCTCTGTTTGTCTGTTACTGGTGCATAAGAATGCTTGTGATTTTTGCACATTGATTTTGTATCCTGAGATGCTGCTGAAGTTGCTTATCAGCTTAAGGAGATTTTGGGCTGAGACGATGGGGTTTTCTAGATATACAATCATGTCATCTGCAAACAGGGACAATTTGACTTCCTCTTTTTCTAATTGACTACCCTTTATTTCCTTCTCCTGCCTGATTGCCCTGGCCACAACTTCCAACACTATGTTCAATAGGAGTGGTGAGAGAGGGCATCCCTGTCTTGTGCCAGTTTTCAAGGGAATGCTTCCAGTTTTTGCCCATTCAGTATGATATTGGCCGTGGGTTTGTGATAGATAGCTCTTATTGTTTTGAGATACGTCCCATCAATACCTAATTTGTTGAGAGTTTTTAGCATGAAGCGTTGTTGAATTTTCTCAAAGGTCTTTTCTGCATCTATTGAGATAATCATGTGGTTTTTGTCATTGGTTCTGTTTATATGCTGGATTATGTTTATTGATTTGCATATGTTGAACTAGCCTTGCATCCCAGGGATGAAGCCCACTTGATCATGGTGGATAAGCTTCTTGATGTGCTGCTGGATTTGGATTGCCAGTATTTTATTGAGGATTTTTGAATTGATGTTCATCAAGGATATTGGTCTAAAATTCTCTTTTTTTGTTGTGTCTCTGCCAGGCTTTGGTATCAGGATGATGCTGGCCTCATAAAACGAGTTAGGGAGGATTCCCTCTTTTTCTATTGATTGGAATAGTTTTAGAAGGAATGGTACCAGCTCCTCCATATACCTCTGGTAGAATTCAGCTGTGAATTCATCTGGTGCTGGACTTTATTTGGTTGGTAAGCTATTAATTGTTGCCTCAATTTCAGAGCCTGTTAATTGGTCTATTCAGAGATTCAACTTCTTCCTGATTTAGTCTTGGGAGGGTGTATGTGTCGGGGAATTTATCCATTTCTTCTAGATTTTCTAGTTTATTTGCATAGAGGTGTTTATAGTGTTCTCTGATGGTAGTTTGTATTTCTGTGGGATCGGTGGTGATATCCCTTTATCATTTTCTGTTGCGTCTATTTCATTCTTCTTCTTTTCTTCTTTATTAGTCTTGCTAGCGGTCTATCAATTTTGTTGATCTTTTCAAGAAACCACCTCCTGGATTCATTGATTTTTTGAAGGGTTCTTTGTGTCTCTATTTCCTTCAGTTCTGCTCTGATCTTACTTATTTCTTGCCTTCTGCTAGCTTTTGAATGTGTTTGCTCTTGCTTCTCTAGTTCTTTTAATGGTGATGTTAGGGTGTCAATTTTAGATCTCTCCTGCTTTCTCTTGTGGGCATTTAGTGGTATAAATTTCCCTCTACACACTGCTTTGAATGCGTCCCAGAGATCCTGATATGTTGTGTCTTTGTTCTCATTGGTTTCAAAGCACATCTTTATTTCTGCCTTCATTTCGTTATATGCCCAGTAGTCATTCAGGAGCAGGTTGTTCAGTTTCCATGTAGTTGAGCAGTTTCGAGTCAGTTTCTTAATCCTGAGTTCTAGTTTGATTGCACTGTGGTCTCAGAGACAGTTTGTTATAATTTCTGTTCTTTTACATTTGCTGAGGAGTGCTTTACTTCCAACTAAGTGGTCAATTTTGGAATAAGTGCAGTGTGGCACTGAGAAGAATGTATATTCTGTTGATTTGGGGTGGAGAGTTCTGTAGATGTCTATTAGGTCCGCTTGGTGCAGAGCTGAGTTCAATTCCTGGATATCCTTGTTAACTGTCTCATTGATCTGTCTAATGTTGATAGTGGGATGTTAGAGTCTCCCATTATTATTGTGTGGGAGTCTAAGTCTCTTTATAGGTCTCTAAGGACTTGCTTTATGAATCTGGGTGCTCCTGTATTGGGTGCATATATATTTAGGATAGTTAGCTCTTCTTGTTGCATTGATCCCTTTACCATTAAGTAATGGCCTTGTCTCTTTTGATCTTTGTTGGTTTAAAGTCTGTTTTATCAGAGACTAGGATTGCAACCCCTGCCTTTTTTTGTTTTCTATTTGCTTGGTGGATCTTCCTCCATCCTTTTATTTTGAGCCTATGTGTGTCTCTGCACGTGAGATGGGTTTCCTGAATACAGTACAGTGATGGGTCTTGACTCTTTATCCAATTTGCCAGTCTGTGTCTTTTAATTGGAGCATTTAGCCCATTTACATTTAAGGTTAATATTGTTATGTGTGAATTTGATCCTGTCATTATGATCTTAGCTGGTTATTTTGCTCGTTAGTTGATGCAGTTTCTTCCTAGCCTTGATGGTCTTTACAATTTGGCATGTTTTTGCAGTGGCTGGTACCAATTGTTCCTTTCCATTTTAGTGCTTCCTTCAGGAGCTCTTGTAGGGCAGGCCTGGTGGTGACAAAATCTCTCAGTATTTGCTTGTCTGTAACAGATTTTATTTCTCCTTCACTTATGAAGCTTAGTTTGGCTGGATATGAAATTCTGGGTTGAAAATTCTTTTCTTTAAGAATGTTGAATATTGGCCCCCACTCTCTTCTGGCTTGTAGAGTTTCTGCCAAGAGATCAGCTGTTAGTCTGATGGGCTTCCCTTTGTGGGTAACCTGGTCTTTCTCTCTGGCTGCCCTTATCATTTTTTCCTTCATTTCAGCTTTGGTGAATCTGACAATTATGTGTCTTGGAGTTGCTCTTCTCGAGGAGTATCTTTGTGGCATTCTCTGTATTTCCTGAATGTGAATGTTGGCCTGCCTTGCTAGGTTGGGGAAGTTCTCCTAGATCATATCCTGCAGAGTGTTTTCCAACTTGGTTCCATTCTCTTCGTCACTTTCAAGTATACCAATCAGACGTAGATTTGGTCTTTTCATATAGTCCCATATTTCTTGGAGGCTTTGTTCATTTCTTTTTATTCTTTTTTCTCTAAACTTCTCTTCTTGCTTCATTTCATTCATTTCATCTTCCATCACTGATACCCTTTCTTCCAGTTGATCGAATCAGCTACTGAGGCTTGTGCATTTGTCACGTAGTTCTCGTGCCTTGGTTTTCAGTTCCATCAGGTCCTTTAAGGACTTCTCTAGAATTGGTTATTCTAGTTAGCCATTCATCTAATTTTTTTTCAAGGTTTTTAACTTCTTTGCCATGGGTACGAACTTCCTCCTTTAGCTCAGAGTAGTTTGATTGTCTGAAGCCTTCTTGTCTCAACTCGTCAAAGTCATTCTCCGTCCAGCTTTGTTCCATTGCTGGTGAGGAGCTGTGTCCTTTGGAGGAGGAGAGGTGCTCTGATTTTTAGAGTTTCCAGCTTCTCTGCTCTGTTTTTTCCCTATCTTTGTGGATTTATCTACCTTTGGTCTTTGATGATGGTGACGTACAGATGGGGTTTTGGTGTGGATGTCTTTTCTGTTTGTTAGTTTTCCTTCTAACAGTCAGGACCCTCAGCTGCAGGTCTTTTGGAGTTTGTTGGAGGTCCACTCCAGACCCTGTTTGCCTGGGTATCACCAGTGGAGGCTGCAGAACAGCAGATATTGGTGAACAGCAGATGTTGCTGCCGGATCGTTCCTCTGGAATTTTTGTCTCAGAGGAGTATCCGGCCGTGTGAGGTGTCAGTCTGCCCCTAATGGGGGGGGCCTCCCAGTTAGGCTACTCAGGGGTCAGGGACCCACTTGAGGAGGCAGTCTGTCCGTTCTTAGATGTCCAACTGCATGCTGGGAGAACCACTACTCTCGTCAAGGCTGTCAGACAGGGACATTTAAGTCTGCAAAGGATTCTGCTGCCTTTTGTTTGGCTGTGCCCTGCCCCCAGAGGTGGAGTCTACAGAGGCAGGCAGGCCTCCTTGAGCTGTGGTGGGCTCCACCCAATTCGAGCTTCCTGGCTGCTTTGTTTACCTACTCAAGCCTTGGCAATGGCGGGCGCCCCTCCCCCAGCCTGGCTGCTGCCTTGCAGTTGGATCTCCCACTGCTGTGCTAGCAATGAGCGAGGCTTCGTGGGTGTAGGACCCTCCAAGCAATGCACGGGATATAATCTCCTGGTGTGCCATTTGCTAAGACCGTTGGAAAAGCACAGTATTAGGGTGGGAGTGACCCGATTTTCCAGGTGCCATCTGTCACCCCTTTCTTTGACTAGGAATGGGAATTCCCTGACCCCTTGCACTTCCTGGGTGAGACGATGCCTCGCCCTGCTTCAGCTCATGCTTGGTGCACTGCATCCACTGTCCTGCACCCACTTCCTGACACTCCCCAGTGAGATGAACCCAGTACCTCAGTTGGAAATGCAGAAATCACCTGTCTTCTGCATCGCTCACGCTGGGAGCTGTAGACTGGAGCTGTTCCTATGCGGCCATCTTGGCTCCACCCCCCAGTAGTTTGTATTTCTATGGGATCAGTGGTGATATCCCCTTTATCATTTTTTATTGCATCTATTTCATTCTTCTCTCTTTTCTTCTTTATTAGTCTTGCTAGCGGTCTATCAATTTTGTTGATCTTTTCAAAAAACCAGCTCCTGGATTCATTGATTTTTTGAAGGGTTTTTTGAGTCTCTATTTCCTTCAGTTCTGCTCTGATCTTACTTATTTCTTGCCTTCTGCTAGCTTTTGAATGTGTTTGCTCTTGCTTCTCTAGTTCTTTTAATTGTGATGTTAGGGTGTCAATTTTAGATCTCTCCTGCTTTCTCTTGTGGGCATTTAGTGGTATAAATTTCCCTCTACACACTGCTTTGAATGTGTCCCAGAGATTCTGGTATGTTGTGTCTTTGTTCTCGTTGGCAAACCACTGCTCAATGAAATAAAAGAGGATACAAACAAATGGAAGAACATTCCATGCTTATGGGTAGGAAGAATCAATATCATGAAAATGGCCATACTGCCTGAAGTAATTTATAGATTCAATGCCATCCCCATCAAGCTACCAATGACTTTCTTCACAGAATTGGAAAAAACTACTTTAAAGTTCATATGGAACCAAAACAGAGCCTGCATTGCCAAAACAATCCTAAGCCAAAAGAACAAAGCTGGAGGCATCACGCTACCTGACTTCAAACTATACTGCAAGGCTACAGTAACCAAAACAGCAAGGTACTGGTACCAAAACAGAGATATAGACCAATGGAACAGAACAGAGCCCTCAGAAATAATGCGGCATATCTACAACCATCTGATCTTTGACAAACCTGACAAAAACAAGAAATGGGGAAAGGATTCCCTATTTAATAAATGGTGCTGGGAAAACTGGCTAGCCATATGTAGAAAGCTGAAACTGGATCCCTTCCTTACACCTTATACAAAAATTAATTCAAGATGGATGAAAGACTTACATGTTAGACCTAAAACCATAAAAACCCTAGAAGAAAACTTAGGCAATACCATTCAGGACATAGGCATGGGCAAGGACTTCATGTCTAAAACACCAAAAGCAATGGCAACAAAAGCCAAAATAGACAAATGGGATCTAATTAAACTAAAGAGCTTCTGCACAGCAAAAGAAACTACCATCAGAGTGAACAGGCAACCTACAGAATGGGAGAAAATTTGTGCAATCTACTCATCTGATAAAGGGCTAATATCCAGAATCTACAATGAACTCAAACAAATCTACAAGAAAAAAACAAACAACCCCATCCACAAGTGGGTGAAGGATATGAACAGACACTTCTCAAAAGAAGACATTTATGCAGCCAAAAGACACATGAAAAAATGCTCATCATCACTGGCCATCAGAGAAATGCAAATCAAAACCACAGTGAGATACCATCTCACACCAGTTAGAATGGCAATCATTAAAAAGTCAGGAAACAACAGGTGCTGGAGAGGATGTGGAGAAATGGGAACACTTTTACACTGTTGGTGGGACTGTAAACTAGTTCAACCATTGTGGAAGTCAGTGTGGCGATTCCTCAGGGATCTAGAACTAGAAATACCATTTGACCCAGCCATCCCATTACTGGGTATATACCCAAAGGATTATAAATCATGCTGCTATAAAGATACATGCACACGTATGTTTATTGCAGCACTATTCACAATAGCAAAGACTTGGAACCAACCCAAATGTCCAACAATGATAGACTGGATTAAGAAAATGTGGCACATATACACCATGGAATACTATGCAACCATAAAAAAGGATGAGTTCATGTCCTTTGTAGGGACATGGATGAAGATGGAAACCATCATTCTCAGCAAACTGTTGCAAGGACAAAAAACCAAACACCGCATGTTCTCACTCACAGGTGGGAATTGAACAATGAGAACACATGGAGACAGGAAGGGGAACATCACACACTGGGGCCTGTTGTGGGGTTGGGGGAGGGAGGAGGGATAGCATTAGGAGATATACCTAATGTTAAATGAGAAGTTAATGGGTGCAGCACACCAGCATGGCACATGTATACATATGTAACAAACCTGCACGTTGTGCACATGTACCCTAAAATTTAAAGTATAATAAAAAAAATATTGACATGTGTGGATTTTCCTTTCATTGTGTTGTTAGCTGGTTATTATGCAGACTTGATTGTGTGGTTGCTTTATTGTATCAGTGGCCTATATACATAAGTGTTTTTGTGGTAGCTGGTAATGATGTTTCATTTCCATATTTAGCACTCCCTTAAGTGCCTATGTTAAGCCAGGTCTGTTGGTAATGAATTCCCTTAGCATTTGCTTGTCTGAAAAGGATTTTATTTCTCCTTCACTTATGAAGCTGAGTTTGGCTGGATATGAATTTCTTGGATGGAATTTTTTTCTTTAAGAATGCTGAATATAGGCCCCAATCTCTTCAGGCTTGTAGGGTTTCTTTTGAAAGGCATGCTGTTAGCTTGATGGGTTTCTGTTTGTATATGTGATTTGCCCTTTATCTCTAGCTGCCTTTAATATTTTTTTCTTTCATGTGAGCCTTGGAGAATCTGACAACTGTGCGTCTTGGGGATGGTCGTCTTGTATAGTATCTTGCAGAAATTCTCTACATCTCCTGAATTTGAATGTTCACCTCTCTAATGAAACTTGGGAAATTTTTCTGGATAATATCCTCAAATATGTTTTCCAAGTTGCTTTTTCTCCCCCCCTCTCTTCCAGGGATACCAATTTGTCTTACCTGTGGTCTCTTTACATAATCCAATATTTCTTGGAGGATTTACTCATTTTTTAAACTTTTGGCTGACTGAATTAGTTCAGAAACCAGCCTTCAAGCTCTGAGATTCTCTCCTCAGCTTGGTCTATTCTGCTGTTAAAAAAAAGTGCGATTATTATTATGAAATTCTTGTACTGTTTGTCAGCTCTATCAGATCAGTTTGTTTCTTTCTTATAATGGCCATTTCATCTTTCAGCTCTTATATAATTTTATTGTAATCCTTGGATTCCTTGGATTGGGTTTCAACTTTCTCCTGAATTGTGATGATCTTCATTCTCATCCATATTCTGAATTCTCTGTCTGTCATTTCAGCCATTTCAGCCTGGTTAAGAACACTTGCTGGGGAACTAGTGCAGTTGTTTGGAGAAAAAGACACTCTGGCTTTTTGACTTGCCAGAGTTTTTGTACTAGTTCTTTCTTATCTCTGTGTGCTGATGTTCCTTTCACAGTTACAATTTGAGTACATTCAGTTGCCTCTTTTCTGGATGTTTTCAAAGGGCTGAGGCTTTGTGCAGGATCTTTATTTGCAGCTGATTTCTTGTCCTTGTTTTTATGGGGGTGGGGGTTATGTTAGCAAGTATTTTTGGTGTTGAAGTTTGGGCTGTGATCCAGTAAATGGTGCTTAAGTATAATGGTAAGTTCTTGCTCAACCACGTGGCTCCTCTGTATTTCCTCTCGATTTCAGCTGTGCTCCCTCTTAGTGCTCTGAAAGTGTAGTTTCTTCTCCCAGTCAATTTCTGGCTGCAGATCTTGGATTGGCACTCCCAGGGTGCACACTGCAGCTCTGGGGTGAGCTCAGGCTTTGTGTGTCCTCTCCAACTTGGAGGCAGCAGAGGGAGGGACCTTGGCAGTGGCTGTAGCAGAGAGCCATTCACTTGTCTCTTGGGGCTCCAGCCCAGAGAAATACGGAGCTGCTACCAGTTGGTGTGATTGGCCCAGAGTTGGGCAGCTGTGTTATGGGCCCAAGCTGGGGTGGGGGCGGGGCTTGCTTGGTGATGAGCAGGGAGCATTGGAGGCTCATAGGTGAGCTAGACTGGCCTCTTCTCTTTAAGATGGCTGTGGTTTCTGGAGGTGTAGGTAAAGCACTTAAGGTCTTTGTTCCTTCCTTAGTCCAAGGGCAGCAAGGGAAGTACCACTGCAGTGGCAGTGGCAGAGGGGCTTTCGGTTTTGTCTAGGAGCTCCACCACAGAGAATCACAGACCCGTTACTAATGGGAATGTTTAATCGGGGCTTGTGGTGACTGCACTACTGGCCCTGCTTGGTGAAGCGCAGGGGGTCAAGGCCTCATGGGGAGGAGAGACTGGGCTCCTCTCCTTATGGCGGTTTTGGTGCTGGGAGTGCAGGTGAAGCCCTCAGGTTCTTTGTTCCTTCCCCAATGCAAGGGCAGCAAGGGCAGGACCAGTGCACTGGCGGTGGCAGAGGGTCTGTTGGTTGCCTCTGGGAGCCCCTCCCAGGGAAACTTAGAGCCACTAGCAGTGGAAATGCTCAGCTGGGGGTGGGGTGTCTGCTCTGCAATTCCAGCTGAAGGGTCCTTCCTGGGGAAGAATACAGGGTGGGAGCTCACAGAGAAGAGACATTGGGTTTCTCTCCGTATGGTGGCTGGGTGTGCTAGGGATGTCAGCATAGCAACCAGGCCCTTTGTTCCTTCCCCAATGCAGTAAGGGTGGTACCCATCGCAGCTGTAATGGCAGAGGGGCTATGGGTTGTCTCTGGGGATTTCCTCCCCAAAGAAACACAGAGCTGCCACCAACTGACATGTTCAGGCCAGGGCAGGGCGGTTGTGCTAGGCGCCCAGGTGGAGAGATCCTGCCCATTGAGGGGTAGCAGGGTGGGGACCTGTGTGGAAAACTGGCCGCTTTTCTGTAAGGCAGCTCTGCCTTAGTGCCTGATCACTGCGTTCCTTCCCAAGCCGGAGAGCCACAGGAGCGAGGGCTTCAGAGCAGCAAAAGTAGTAGCTTGCCTGTTACCTCCGGGAGATCCCTTCCAAGAAAGTGCAGAGCTGCTACCGCGGAGAGCCCTAGCAGGGAGTGGCCAAGGTCGCAGATCTAGAGGCCCTGCCCAGTGAGGAGTAGCAGGGGCGGGGGACGGCATTGAAAACAGGCCGCTTTTCCGGGTAAGGTGGCTGCGCTGTGCTGGGGGTCTATGATAGTCCCTAATCACTGTGCTCCCTCCCCAGCCTGAGGGCAGCAAGAGCGAGGGCTTCCGAGCGGCAGAAATGGCGGCCTGCCTGCGACCCGAGAGCTCAGGCAGGGCTGCGATGGCCGCAGTAGAGTCCCAGGCCAGTGGGCCATGTCTGGCGAGGTGCAGTGGAGGTGAGGCGTGCACTCCATCTGCTGCTCAGCCCTGTGGATTTGCCCCCATCCTGGTGGGCCTGTGCGGGAGCCTGACCTCTCTTGTTGCCAGAGATGCAGCTGCCGGTGTCCGGTACCAGGGGATCCATGGCTCCCGGGACCCAGGGTTGCAAAGGTCCATGGCAGAAGTGTGGGTCCCCAGGGACTCTCACTGACTCACTCACCGTTTCCTGGCTGTGGGGGGCCTCCCCTGGCTCTTCGCCTCTCCCCGGTGGGCAGTTGTCCTGTCTCACTCTTCTCACTTCTGTGTGGATTGTATTGCTTCCTTGATGAAAGTGTCCACTTGGATAATCCAGTTGAAGAGCTAATGTTTACTCACTACTCTCTTCTCTCTCTGAGAGCAATGCGCACTAGCTGCTTCTAGTCAGCCATCTTGGCTGGAATCCCGGTTTTGAATTTCATTTTGGGAAATGATTTGATTTCGCACATTTGTGTATGTGTGAGAGAGAGAGGGGAGAGCGTATCAATACGTGCGCGCATGTGAGTGCAAGAGACCATTTCACTTGTTGGCATTTAACGGTGTTTGCTGCTACTCCCAGTTTCTCAACTCTTCCACCACAATGCCCCTCATACTCTAATAGGTTATGCACAAAGAGTGCCTCCTTTGTAATACCTATATTATAAAGCCTCTGGAGAAACTTCATTATTTGCATTTTGCAGGTGTGGGAACTAAATTACGATATGTTTAAATAATTTGCCCAGGGACTGCCAGATATAAAGTAGAAGAGCTGATTTTCACACATCTGTCTCCCTCAGTACCAAGTTGTGCCGTTTCCACTTAAGCTGTGTGCTCTGCTGGATTCATGTGCATTTCCTTCAGTCTCATAAGCTGCTTGTAAGATGAAAATTCACTGACTTGTGCACTGATTGTTCAGATGGAGAAAGCCGAATAAAGTTGGAGCAGTTGGCACTTAACTGTTATCTGGGCAGTGCTAAGTGCTGGAGTTTTGGTATTTAAGAGACATAGGCTGAGCCCTATGGAGCTTGTAATATAGATACCATACTGGAAGTAATTTTTTCCTTATACTCAGTATTTTCTGTTAGCTTTTGCTGCATAACAAAGTACCCGAAAACCTAGAGGCTGAATTGTTCTGGTCTGTCAGCTCAGCTGATCTCTACTGGATTTGCTTTTGCATCAGTGGTTAATCAAAGGGTTGATTGGAGGCTAGTGATCTAAGTTGGCCTTGTTGACATGGCTGGTGATTGGTAGGCTGTTGGTTGGGGTGGTAAGGGAAGCTGGGCCATGTATTTAGAAACTAGCCTAGGCATTTTCACGTGGCAACTAAATCCTAAGAACACAAGAGGACCAGCCTCAAGGCACAAGTGCTTCTCAAGCTTCTGTTTGGGTCTTGTTTGCTAATGTCCCCCCTGCTGGCCGAGCAAGTCAGATGGCCAAGTCCAGAATCATCAGAATCATTTTAAGAGGGTGTACAAAAGGGCATAGACACAAGTAGGGGAACATTTTGTTGCCATTGTTGCACCCTTCTCCTGTCAGGAACTATCAAAATTCTGAGATTTTTACCCTACTTGCAAGCTAACTAGTCAGGCTACCACACTGTTATAGATGCTGGTAGAAGACATAAGACTCCTAATCAGAAACAAAGGAGTTTATCCTCATAATGGCAGTAGTAATCAAGTCTCAGCATTTTTGCACCTCTTTTCTGAGCCCCAATTCCCACAGGATGACATGAAGAGGGCCAGCTTGTGAGTGAGTTGTGTTATGGGAGAATATCATTGAGGTTAGGGAACCGGAGTCTTTTATAATGAGTAGCAAACATGTCTACCCTTTGCTCTGGAGAGAGACATTATTATTCTGGACAGTAAGCATGCTACCCTTTGCTCTACATAGAGATACTGTATCTTCCAGGATTGTAAACAAACCTACCCCTTGCTCTGGAGGGAGATACTACTCTGTCTTCCAAGGCTGTTTGCTATAGAAACATCCTTGAAAAGAAAGTTCAGAACAAAAAACAGTTGTCTCATTCACAATATATGCCAAAATGCAAGAAACTCATGGAGAATTGTCTCCCAACAGTCACATGCCCTAAACTAGAATATTTGTTTTCCTTGTGTCTTATACTCTATCAAACTGAAACATCTGGAAAGAGTATCCTGTCTTAGTAATTTGTGCCTCTCACAATACTCATAATGTTGCCTCATGTTTCATAAAGGCTCAATAAATATTTATTAAGGGAATGAAGAAATGTTTTCTAATATTTTATAGTTCCATTTATATTTCAATTCTTAATATCCGGAAAATAAAACTATACAAATTATTTATGTTTTTTTTCCTTTTAGTGTGATATGTTCAAGTTAATTAAGTACTTTGGTATAAAGTAGATTTTTGTGCTCTGTACTCTGATATTTGGCAGTTTATTTTGAAGCTCAAGTAATTGTTGTTCTGATTCAGGGAAGGTGGGACTGCAAGAGTAAGAAGGCCGAAGCTTTGATGGATCTTTTCCTTTATATTGGTCTGTGAGTTAATATCAGCTTTTCTTGTTTAAAATATGATTAATGAATGATTAGTTGCGTGCAAAGTACTATGAGTTCCTGTGATCATCACCATTTTAAAAGAAAGTGAAAAAACACATTTTTCAGCCAGATAATAATGCTTTAAAAAATAACAAAAATGTTAGGCTTAATTTAAGCAGTGTGAGCACAGCATAGCATTAGCCAGATGCTGTAACAGTCAGACCAGGACTTCTTTCATCAAAGTGCAAAGTAGTTGTGGAAAGAAGAAAGGGATGAGCTTATGAGTCAGATTTGAGTTTGAATCTAGCAGCAGGGACCTAATCTGTCTGTTCTGTTCACCATTGTTTCCCACACTACCTGGCAAATAGTAGGCACTATTTTAATAAATGTTTGTGGGGTTACTCATCTTCTTCACTATCCATTCTATGAACATAGCCAAATCCCGTTACTTCTGTGAACCTATGTTTTTTCATCTATACATTGATAATCACCAAGCATAGTTCTCTGGATGGGTTGATACAGAGACTTAAGTGAGATATGGTATATAAAGCTCCAAGCATAGTACCTGACACTCAATAAATGTGAGCTGTTTCACTTCTTGGACTAACTTGAAATTCCTGGTCATGTTCTGCCTAGGTGTTACGGTGAAGGAAGTTCAGTTAATTGTTAGGCTCAGCTACTGCAGGTTCACTCACTTTTTGATGGGTCAGAATAACTTTTTAATTTCATCCTTTCCCAACTTTTCATTTCCTGACTCTGTCACCACCTTCCCTCTTGCTTAGAGCATTCCAGTAGCCATTTAACTTTTCTCCTCCTCTGGCTGTTCTTTTTCAAACCATTGTGCAGATGACTCCATGACTAACTTTCCCTTCCTGCTAAGGTATTCCTGAGCCCCTCACTTCCTGCCTACCAGGCTCCAGGAGTGGCTTCACACTGTCTCATCATCATTCACCCTCCCCTTTGTTCCCTTGTCTGTTTATCCAGTGTTGTAGCCACACTATTCTCCAAACACATTCTTTCCACCTCAGGGCCTTTGCACTTCTCAGCTTTGCTAGTGACCATTCTTTCCACCTGTAACTTCCTGTTCAGCTCTTAGTCTACCCTGTCCATCTTCCAAGGTTTCTCACAACCAACAAATATGATGTCTCTCATGAAGCCCTATCCTGATCACCCTCTGCCACCGCGTTAAGTTCATATGTAAGGTTCCCCTTTTTTGAAATCTTAATACTTTCAGCTTGTCACCTTCCAGGAATTAAAGATTATGTACTATGTGTGGCAGCCCCCTTACCAGTAACATCTCAGAGAGATTGTGACCAACTAAACACTAGTGAAGTCCACCAAACTACTGTTGAACACTATTAAGTGAGGAAGTATTGAAACAGAGATAGCAAGAGAAATGAGGGGCCTCGAGTGGTGGGGACAAGTCAGCCTCTTCTCCCTGCTTCCTTGGAAGCCCCTCTGACAGTGGGTACACATAAGTTACAGGGCCCAGCGTGGGCAGCCCTGGGCTGCGGGCCACTCTGTAGGTTCTGGAAGCTGTTGTCTAACATTTGCTATCTCCAGCTTAAATCTCCATGAACGCCTACAGTTTCTGGCCAGGGAAACAGATGTCTTGACTGTCTAACATAACTTCGTATATGTGTTGGTAAAGTGATTCAAATATGACATTTTGGAAAATTAAATATTTGAGCATCTTTTTCCGTTAGAGGCTGGGCGTGCTCCTGCCTATGTAATTTTTAGAATTGAGAAAAGGGCATAAATCCCATGATTAAAACAACAACAACAACAACAATCTGTGTTTCATGTATTTTATAATCCTACTTTCTAGTTGCTATTTGATTAAAATTACATAAAAGACTATAAATGAGTATAATATGTAATTAGAAATAAATAGGTTTTTAAAAATTCAATAAATAAGTATTTGTTACATACCTACCATTTTCTAGACACTGAATGAATTCGTAGTCTGGCAGGAGTTAGAAACAAGTGACCAAATGACTGCAATATAATGTAATTGGTATACCAGTTTTGGCGTGGTATTTTGGGCTCTAACCTTATTTTTATCCCTTTTCCTCTCTTCAACATTCTCAAGCAATAACAATAATAACTAATTAATATTAAATAATAATTAATTGAGCACTTACTGTTCTCAGGCAACTATTCTAAATGTTTTATGTGTATCAAACTCATTTAATCCTCTAGAGAAACTTGTAAGATGGGTATTACTGTCATCTCTATTTTAAAAATAAAGAACAGGAAGCCCAAATTTTAATAATTCACATTAGGGGCATGAAAAGTGGTTAAGTAAGAGCTGATGATGGCCTGAAGTAAGCAAGGAGCAGATGGCTGGAGAGAAGAGGGTAAGTTTGAGGAATGGGTTGGGAGGTAGGTAAACAGGACATTGTGATGGATGGCGATGGGGAGGAAAGACAAGAGTGAGTGTGGTTGAGGGTCAGGGAGCATGGGAGCAAAGGGATGTTCATGCTGACCAAAGGCTTGAGGTCTGGAGAGTGTTGGGAAAAGAGCAGGCACAAGACATTTGGAAAGAAGCTGTACCATTGAGCAAGCAAATGAGGAAGGCTATGTGTATGAAGATGTCTGTCCTCCTTGAGGCTGGAGCCAGTGTCTTTTCCTTTCTGATGTTTGTACCCTAGAACCCACAGTGCCTGGCCCACATAGACCATCTTCATTCTCCCTGTTGCTATCTGATTGGAATAGTTTCTTGCTGTGTCATGTGGGTGGGCCCTCCCAAACCCCTCTCCAGAATTTATCCCCTAAAACACCCACATATGTATGCATTGGTTAAGACATTAGTTTGTCTTATTTCCTCAGAAAGTGTCCTATAAAGACTTGAAGGTGGCCAGGCATGGTGGCTCGTAAATGTAATCCCAGCCCTTTGGAAGGCCCAATGGGGAGAATTGCCTGAGCTCAGGAGTTTGAGACCAGCTTGGACAGCATAGTGAGACCCTGTCTCTATAAAAAAAAATTAGCTGGGTGTAGTGGCATGCACCTGCAGTCTCAGTTTCTTGAGAGGCTTAGCAGGAGGATCGCTTGAGCCCAGGTGGAGGCTGTAGTGAGCCATGATTACACCATTGCACAGGAGTGCACAAAATACATGAACAGTCATGCCAACAACAACAAAAAAAACCATACAAGAGATCCTCCTGCTTAAGCCTCTCAAGTAGCTGAGACTACAAAACATACAAACAACCATACAAACCATAAAAAACGTACAAACCAACCAACCAAAAACAGCTTGAAGGTAACAGTACTGCTGATTTTAAAATATGTAAATGGAATCAATGTTGGATTCATGTTGTTTCCTATTTGGTTGCTTTGTAGACTCTTCATTACCATTTCTGCTTCTCAGAAATCACATGTAGTGACACGTGGTGTTTATTACATAAAGGATAAATGGCAGCATAACATTGACAGTAATTTTTGCTTCCAGCCCCCAAGACTGTAGCCTTCTGCCTTATTCCTAGCCTGCTCCTCAACCTCCATTGAGTCTGTAAACCTCCAGTATACTTCCAGTAAATTATCCTTTTGCTTAAAAACTAAAATTAAAAATAAATATACTTTGTAAACTGTCAAATACTATATGAATATTAAAAGCCTTTTAGTAGTCAGTTTCAGTCTTTCATTCAGTCATCCACGCCACAGCTTTCTTCTGGGCACATACTAAGCAGTCCCTGGGCTCGATGCTGTAATTAGAATCTGCTCGTTTGATCTGCAGGAATATTGTCACATTCTGATTAAAACAGTTCTCAAAAATTAAATTTTAACTTGGAACAACATACACTAAATCTCTTTTTCAGAAAAAGAATTAATAAAAATAATAGTAAAATAACCCCAAGTCCTTTAATACATATAGTGATTATTTTTAGTTTAGCTTTTTTATGGTTACTGTAAGCATATAAATATTTACTACTGTCCTAAATAGCAAAGCATTACCCTGCAGTTGTCTAATTGGTGCATGAATGTCACTAAAATTAAATATCATGATGTTCAATATTTTCCTTAGTCAATTTTACACTATCCTGCCCTGTGATTAATTACTTTGCTTGAGGCCAAGCAAGTACTACTGAGTCCTGTGATAAGTGGATGTTTATGCCAAAAACAACAGCATTGCTAATTCTTGCATATTTGCACATGTTAAGTTCTTTTCTTTCTCTGCCACCTGTATTTCATGTGTTGATCACAGAGGCACCAGAGTATCATTCTTACAGTATTTGAATTATGCATTACATGGTAAACTGATCGTTATTTTCCATCAAATGAATACTTTGGCTTACACTTAATTTTATAAAATCTGTTTATAGAAATCATTAATAACTAGAACAACGTTAGTTAGAAATTGAAGAATATGGCTAAAGAATTTATTACCTTGGAAGATATTATGAAGATCCTAAGAAGAAAAAAAATTTAAGGAGGCATCTAATAGGCAGATTAACAAGGCTGTGGGGAAGTGATACAAATGTATATTGCTTTCAAAAAGTATATTTCCCTTGGGCATGGATACTCATGCCTGTAATCTCAACACTTTAGGAGGCTGAGGCAGAAGGATCATTTGAGCCCAGGAGTTCAAGACCAGCCTATGCGACATAGGGACACCCCATCTCTACAAAAAATTAGAAAATTAGCTGGGCATGGTCACACGTGCCTGTAGTCCTCGCTCCTTGGGAGGCTAAGGTGGGAGGGTCATTTGAGCCTGGGAAGTCGAGGCTGCAGTGAGGCATGATTGTGCCACAGCACTCCAGCCTGATTGACAGAGTAAGACTCTGTCTCAACAACAACAACAACAAAGAGTTAATTTCCGTTTTTGTTTGAATTTTGATATCAAAAACATCAATAAAATAATTTATTTCCAGATTGTACTCATCTGTTTTCACCATATTTGATGGAATTTTGAAGTGAACAATTCCTGACAGTATAAAAAGGTAAAAATCCAGGTATTAGGACCATTTTTTCCCTGCTATTTTCTTTTTCTGATGACAACTTTATTTTTCTCTGTGAAGCTATAATTTGCCTCTGATATTTTTATTTTAAATGTTTTTCAAACTTTGAATTTTAATTTTTTAGATTCTAGTTAGTATTAATATTTTATCTTATTTGATATTTTTATTACAGTAGCTATTGGTACTTCCTGAATAAATGTGCTTCTTTATTATGGTTCTTAATGTGGTAAGAACAGATAAACCACATGCACGTAATTCACCATTATCTCAATTTCATAGACATTTACCGAGCGTCTACTACATGCAAAAAAGTTTGTGCCGGATGTTGCAAGGGCTCCTAAAACATCACCACTACAGCTTCTGCATAGAGATGATTGTTGACACTTCAGGAATAGAGACTACATGGGGAGGGAAAGAGAGCAGGAAAAGAATGTCTGTGATCAGAACCTAAAGGATGCTTTTACTTGGGTGGTAGAAAAAGAATGCAAAGATGGCCAATGGGACAAAGAAGGAAAAGTCAAAGATAAAAACATAAGCAAAGTGTACATTTTAATCAAAGCCAGAAAAGGAAAGGGTTTCAGGAGGTTGACATATTCTGCAGAAGACTGAGGAGGACTCAGGAAAATTCAACAAAGTGGTACTATTAGAGAGTTGGGAAAGGAAGGCTAACTCTAAGGGTGTTATATAAAACTATTAATTGATGCTACTCAAAGTGTGGTCCATGGATAAGTGCCAGTCTGCAAAGTGCCTGTTAACTATGCATGCTGATGAGCTACAGGATGTAAATGAACTACATTGTTACACACTGTGTCAGTTCAATGGGCATTTTTTGACAGGAAGTCTTTCTTGAGGAAGCATGTAGTAAGTTCATTTGTGTGCTGGTAACCGGATTTCTGATCTTGTCCCAGATGTTTAAGGAGCAGTTCACAGACAGACTACTTTGAGGAGCACTGATAGAAATACAATACAATGTAGACAAACATGATTTCATTTTTAGATAAAATTTATGATTTCCTTGTGAGGTAATAAATATGATTATAATTTCTATTGAAAATACTTGTGCCATTTTCTAGACATCAAATAAAACTTGCAAGAATGGGTATCTTTCTAATAATTCCTGTCACTATTACTTTGGGGTACATTTTAATTTTTATTCTAATTACTCAAAAACATTCTCTAAAAAATACTGCACATAATTTCCAAAATGTGAAGCAACGAAGATGTTACTCAGTAGGTGAATAGGTAAACTATGCTATATTCATAAAATGGAATATTAGTCTGTAATAAAAAGAAATGAGCTATCAAGCCATGAAAATGCATGGGTGAAACTTGAATTTATATTACAAAGTGAATGAAGCCAGTCTAAAAAGACTATCTATTCTATGAATCCAACTATATGACATTCTGGAAAAGGCAAAACTATGGAGACAATAAAAGGTCAGTGTTTGGCAGAGACTTGAGAGAAGGAGGGATAATAGATGGAGCACAGGGGATTTTTAAAGCAGTGAAACTATTCTATATGATACTGTAATGGTAGATACAAATAATCATACATTTATAAAAACCCATAGAATATACAACACCAGGAGTGAACCCTAACGTAAACTTTGGATTTGGTGAATAATGATGTGTAAATGTTGGTTCAGCAATTTTACCATACTGGTGGGGCATGTTGATGGAGTAGGCTGTGCTTGTGGAGGGGGAAGGAGCTATGTGGAACTCTCTATACTTTCTACTCAGTTTTACTGGTGAACCTAAAACTGGTCTAAAACATACATTTTATTAATTAAATTTTTAAATTAAAAAAATTTTGTAGGTACCTCACAACTGTCTCATAATTGTTTTATTGTTTTCGAGAAAGGTGGCCTTCCAATGAAGGTTTTGTGTTTTGTTTTGGTTTGTTTTTTTGTTTGTTTGTTTGTTTGAGACAGGGTCTTTATCACTCAGACTGAAGTGCAGTGGCACAATCATGGCTCACCAAAGCCTCAATCTCCCAGACCTGAGTGATCCTCACACCTCAGCCTCACGAGTAGTTGAGACCACAGGCATGTGCCACCACACTTGGCTAATTTTTCTTATATTTTTGTAGAGACAGGGTCTCCCTATATTGCCCAATACTGAACTATTAGGTTGTAAAAACAAAATGTATTCCTTTGAAGAACAGATAATAGTCATGGTCTATTAGGTCTTAGTGTCAAAGTTGAGTGATTCTAAGATAATGAAAGCAGATATTTTTAGATGGAGAGTAGCACTCTGAAGATGATCTGCCTGGCTCTTTTGTTAAAGGTTGTTGCCGTTCATCTAGACGTATGTATATGCCTAAGAAGAGCGTTATACTGATGCTGTTACAAAAGAGAGAAATCAGACACTGATTGAGTGTGAGTTCTCCAAAGAAACATAACTAAGAGGAATAGATAGATAGATAGATAACTCTACTGTAAAGAACTGGCTTACATGATTATGGAACCTGAGAAGTCCTTGGATCTACAGTTGGTAAGCTGGAAACCCAGGAGAGCTGGTTGTATGCTTCTAGTCCAAGTCTGAAGGCCTGAACTAGGAGAGGTGTTGGTGTAAGTTCCAGTCTGAGTATAAGTCCAAAGGTAGGATAAGAACAATGTTCCTGCTCAAAGACAGCCCGGCAGAGAGAAGGAATTCTTTTTTCACTTAGCCTTTTATTCTCTCCAGGTCTTCAACCAGTTGGATGAAGCCCACTCACATTAGAGAAAGCAATTTGCTTTACTCATTCTACCAATTCCTTGACTTGCTTCTGGGAATCCCTAGTTGACTAATAATTTTACTTTAAAATATTTCAAGAAAAAAGCATAATTTAAAAATATAACGAATATAGCTTAAGAGCAAAAACAAATATTTTTCAAACTCTATGAAGAACCCATATTTTTGTTTATTTATTATTTTTTGCACTTTTAGGGTCAGGGTACATGTGCAGGTTTGTTATATAGGTAAATTGTGCGTCATAGGAGTTTGGTGTACAGATTATTTCATTACTCAGGTCCTAAGCGTAGTACGCTATAGGTGTATTTTTATCCTCACCCTCCTCCAACCCTCCACTCTCAAGTAGGCCCCACTGTCTATTGTTCCCTTCTTTGTGTCCATGTGTACTCAGTGTTTAGCTCCCACTTATAAGTGAGATCACGCAGTATTTGGTTTTCTGTTCCTGCGTTAGTTCACTTACAGTAGTGACCTCCAGCTCCATCCATGTTTCTGCAAAGGACATGATTTCTTTCATTTTTATGGTTACACAAAAAAGAATAGTACATATGTAGTACATATTCCATGGTGAATATGTACTACATTTCCTTTATTTAGTCTACTGTTAATGGGCATTTAGGTTGATTTCATGTCTTTGCTATCGTAAATAATGCTGCACTGAACATGCATGTGTCTTTATGGTAGAAAATATATATATTCCTATATTCCTTTGGGTATGTACCCAATAATGTGATTGCGGGTCAAATGGTAGTTCTAAGTTCTTTGAGAAATCGCCAAAGTTCTGTCCACAATGGCTAAACTAATTTACATTCCTACCAGCAGTGTATAAGTATTCCCTTTTCTCTGTAACCTTGCCAGCATCTGTTATTTTCTGACTTTTTAATAATAGCCATTCTGACTGGTATAAGATGGTACCTCATCATGGTTTTGATTTCCATTTCTCAAATGATTAATGATGATGAACATTTTTTCATATGCTTGTTAGCAGTATGTATGTCTTCTTTTAGAAAGTGTCTGTTCATGTCCTTTTCCCACTTTTTAATGGGGTTATTTGTTTTTTGCTTGTTAATTTAAGTTCCCTATAGATTCTGGATAGTAGACCTTTGTTGGATATATAGTTTATAAAAATTTTCTCCCATTCTCTATAGTGCCTGTTTACTCTGTTGATAGTTTCTTTTGCTATGCAGAAGCTATTTAGTTTAATTAGTCATTTATAAATTTTTGGTTTTGTTGCAATTGCTTTCGGCATCTTTGTCATGAAATGTCTGCCAGGGCCTATGTCTGAAATGGTATTTCCTAGATTATCTTCCAGGATTTTTAGAGTTTTAGGTTTTGCATTTAGCTTTAATCCATCTTGAGTTGATTTTTTGTATATACTGTAAGGAAGGGGTCTAGTTTCAAAGTTCTGCATATGGCTAGCTAGTTATACCAGCACCATTGATTGAATAGGGAGTCTTTTTCCCATTGCTTGTTTTTGTTGACTTTAACAAAGATCAGATGGTTGTAGGTATGTGGCTTTATTTCTGGTTCTCTATTCTGTTCCGTTGGTCTATGTCTCTGCTTTTGTACCAATATCATGCTGTTTTGGTTACTGTAGTCTGGTAGTATAGTTTGAAGTTAGTTAATGTGAGGCTTCCTGCTTTGTTCTTTTTTCTTTAAGTATTCAAGCTCTCTTTTGGTTCTGTATGAATTTTAAAATAGTTATTTCTAATTCTGTGAAGAATGCTATTGGTTGTTTTATAGGAATAGCACTGAATTTATATGTTGCTTTGGGAAGTATGGCCATTTAACAATATTGATTCTTCCTATTCATGAGTATGGAATGTTTTTCCATTTGTTTGTATTATCTCTGATTTCTTTGAGCAGTGTTTTGTAAATCTTGTAGAGATCTTTCACCTCCCTGGTTGGTTATATTCCAGGTATTTTATTCTTTTTATGGCCATCGTGAATGTGACTGAGTTCTTGATTTGGCTTTCAGCTTGGACGTTGTTGGTGTATAGAAATGCTACTGATTTTTGTACACTGATTTTGTATTCTGAAGCTTTGCTGAGGTTGTTTATCAGATGTCAGAACTTTTGGGCAGAGGCTATGTGAGGTTTTCTAAGTATATAGTCACATCATCAGCAAACAGGGATAGTTTGATTCCTGTCTTCCTATTTGGATGCCTTTCATTTCTTTCTATTTCCTGATTGTTCTGGCTAGGACTTCCAGTGCTGTGTTGAATAGGAGTGGTGAGAGTGGGCATTCTTGTCTTGTTCCCGTTCTCAAGGGGAATGCTTCCAGCGTTTGCCTATTTAGTATGTTTGCTGAGGGTTTGTTGTAGATGGCTGTTATTATTTTGGGATATGTTCCTTCAGTGCCTAGTTTATTGAGTTTTTTTTAACATGAAGGGATATTTAATTTTATCAAAAGCCTTTTCTGCATCTATTAGGAGAATCATAAGGTTTTGGTTTTAGTTTTGTTTATGTGATGAGTCACAATAATTGATTTGCATATGGTGAACCAACCTTGCTTCCCAAGGAAAAAGCCTATTTGATCGTAGTGCATTAGCTTTTTGATGTGCTGCTGGGTCTGGTTTATTAGTATTTTGTTGTGGATTTTTGCATCTATGTTCATCAAGGCTATTGGCCTGAAGTTTTCTTTCTTTTTTTTTTGTTATGGGTCTGCTAGGTTTTGGTATCAGGATGATGCTGCTCTCATAGAATGATTTAGGGAAGAGTACATCCTCCCCAATGTTTTTGAATAGTTTTAGTGGGAATGGTATCAGCACTTTTTTGTACACCTGGTAGAATTTGACTGTGAATCTGTCTGGTCCTGGGCTTTTTCTGGTTGGTAGGCTTTTTATTACTGATTTAATTTTGGAACTCATTTTGTCTGTTCAGGATTTCAATTTCTTCCTGGTTCAGTCTTGGAAGATTGTATGTTTCTAGGAATTTATTCATTTCCTCTAGGTTTTCTAGTTTTTGTGCCTAGAGGTGTTCATAATAGTCTCTGAGGGTATTTTGCATATCTGTGGGGTCAGTGGTAATGTCTCCTTTGTCATTTCTGTTTGTGTTTTTTTAGATCTTCTCTCTTTTTTTCTTTATTAATCTAGGTAGTGGTCTATCTCTCTTATTTATTCTTTCAAAAAGCAAACTTCTGAATTTGTTGAACTTTTGTATGGTTTTTCACATCTCAATTTCATTCGATTCAGCTCTGATTTTGGTTATTTCTTGTCTTCTGCTAGCTTTGGGAGTTGGTTGCTGTTCTTTTCCTATTTCTTCTAGGTGTGATATTAGGTTGTTAATTTGAGATATTTCTAACTTTTTGATGTGGGCATTTATTACTATAAACATTCTTCTTCAGTCTGCTTTAGCTGTGTCCCAGAGATTCTGGCATGTGGTGAATTGATTCTCATTAGTTTCAAATAATTTCTTGATTTATGCCTTAATTTCACTGTTTACCCAAGTCATTCTGTAACAGATTGTTTAATTTCCATATAATTGTGTGGTTTTGAGAGATTTTCTTAGTATTAATGTCTTTTCTATCAGACTGTGCTCTGAGAATGTGGTTGGTATATTTTCAGTTTTTTATTTTTTTTAATTTTCTGAGGATTGTTTTCTGGCTAAATGTGTGCTTGATTTTAGAGTATGTGGTATGTGCAGAAGAGAAGAATGTATAGTATGTACAGAAGAGAAGAATGTATATGCTCTTGTTTTGGGGCATCAAGTTCAGTAGATGTCTGTTAGTTCCATTTGGTCAAGTGCTGAGTATAGGTCCTGAATATCTTTGTTAGTTTTTTCCCTCAATGATCTAATACTATCAGTGGAGTGTTTAAGCCTCTCATTATTATTGTTCAGTTATCTAGGTCTCTTCATAGGTCTGTAAGAACTTGCTTTATGAAGCTGGGTGCCCTTCTATTAGGTGCATACATATTTAGGATAGTTAGGTCTTTTCATTGAGTGAGTCCTTCACCATTAGGTAATGCTCTTCTTTGTCTTTTTAAATTGTTGTTGTTGATTTATAGTCTTTTTTGCCTGATACTAGAATAGAAAGCTCTGCTCTTTTCTGTTTTCTGTTTGCTTGGCAGATTTTTCTCCATTTCTTTACTTTGAGCCTATCGGGGTTATTGCATGTGAGATGGGCCTCTTGAAGCGAGCATACAGTTGGGTCTTGCTTCTTTATCCAAGTTGACATTCTGTGCCTTTTATTTGGGCATTTATACTGTTTACATTTAAGGTTAATATTGATATGTGTGGGTTTGATCCTGTCATCGTGTTGTTAGCTGGTTACTATGCAGACTTGATTGTGTAGTTGCTCTATATACTTAAATGTGTTTTTGTGGTGACCAGTAATGGTCTTTGTTTCCATGGTTAGCACTCTTTTAAGGACTTCTTGTAAGGCAGATCTTGTGGTAATGAATTCCTGTACCATTTGCTTGTCTGAAAAGGATCTTATTTCTCCTTTGCTTATGAAACTTAGTTTGGTTAGGTATGACATTCTTTGTTGGATTTTTTTTCTTTAAGAATGCTGAATATAGGCCCCCAAACTCTTCTGCTTATAGGGTTTCTGGTGAAAGGTCCACTGTTAGCTTGATGGTGATCTCTTTTTAGGTGACCAACCCCTTCTCTCTAGATGCTTTTAAGAGTTTTTCTTTCATATCTACCTTATGGAATCTGAGGACTATGTGTCTTGGGGATGGTCATCTCATATAGTGTCTCACAGGGGTTCTCCACATTTCCCAAATTTTAGTGTTGGCCTCTTTAGCAAGGTTGGGGAAATTTTCATGAAAGATATCTTTAAATATGTTTTCTAAGTTGCTTGTTTTTTTCTCTCTCTCTTTTAGGGATGCTAATGAATTGTAGATTTGGTCTCTTTACATTATCCCATATTTCTTGGAGGTTTTGCTCATTCTTTTTTACTCATTTTTATTTATTTTTGTCTGACTGAAATATTTTGGAGAGGTAGTCTTCGAGTTCTGAGACTCTTTCTTTGGCTTCATCATTTCTGCCGTTAGTACTTAGGATTGTATTATGTAATCCTTAAAGTGAGCTTTTCAGCTTTACCAGATCATTTCTTAAAGTGGCCATTTCATCTTTTCGCTCCTGTTTCATTTTATTGTACTTCTTATATCTCTTGGATTGGGTTTTGATTTTCTCTTGAATATGGATGATCTTTGTTCCTATCCATATTTTGAATTCTATGTGTCATTTGAGCCATTTCAGCCTGGTTAAGAACCATTGCTGACAAACTAGCGTGGCTGGTTGAAGGTAGGAAGACCCTCTGGTTTTCTGAGTTGCCACAGTTCTTGCACTGGTTCTTTCTCATGTGTATGGGCTGATGTTTCTTCAGTCTTCAGGTTGCTGTCCTTTGGATGAGGTTTTTTGCTTTTTCATCTTTGATACCCTTGGGAGTTTGATTGTGCTATAAGGTAGGTACAGTCAACTGGCCTCATTTGTGGAAGATTTTATGAGGCCAAGGCTCAGCTCAGCACTCCTGGACTATGTGCTCTAACTCTGGGGGGCTGGCAGTGGGGCCCTAGCTTTGTTCTCTGGCCCCTAAAGGTTAGGAACCTGCTGCACTGGAGGGGCCAAAGTGTTCCCAGTCTGCTGTCCACAACACCCCGATGAGGGCTGCCCACTAAATTACTTCATCAAGGTGTTGGCAGTGGAATTTGTGCTCGCTTGCACATGCCAGCGATTGCAGCAATGCTCAGTGTGTATGTGAATTGCCTGGGATGTGGGACCAGTGGAAGCAGGGCAGTGGCATTCCTGCTGCACCTCCTCATGCAGGTGGTTGTGGTGGTGGTGACATGACAGGGTCAGGGCACTGTGGTAACAGGTTGTCTGGCATTTGTGCCAGTGGTGGTGGCATGGGGTTGGGTGTCAGGGTGTGCTAGCACCAGCAGAGGGAGGTTGTGGTGGGGGAAGACCGTGGCAGCCCTGTGTGTTTCAGCCGGTTCCAGTGCACTGGAACTCTCTGACAGTCAGGTGCAGTCTGCCAGCAAAGGAGCTATGGTAAAGTTTTCCAGGAAGCACCCTGTTTGGGCATCTGAGGCTGCACTGCAAGTGGGTGCAACCAGTCTGGAGCCCTAGGAGAGGCCAGAAGACAGGGTAGTGCTCAGATCAGACTAGCCCCATCTCACAAGGAAGACCACCCTGCTGTGTCCAGGTATGACAGTCACCCCTAGGCTAATGTCTCCTAGAGGAGCGTAGGTGTCCCTGGCTGTGCTCCATTGCAGCCACTCCCATGCCAAACTCTCTGAGCTGTGCACTGGCTGGAGTCCTGCTCCTGCCACCTCTCCTGGCAGCTCTCCCTGCCAGGGTAAGTGTTTGTGGAGGTCATGGGGTCTCCTGCTGATAGGATTCTGGAGATCCAAGGTGAGAGCAGGCCATACCTTGGCTGTTCATCTCACTCCTTCCCCAGGAGACGCTGGAGCCCAGGAATGAGTCCCTTTGCTCAGCAGCCCTGTGCAGGGTTCCTAGCATCCTTTCCCTCCAGCCTGGCCTCTATGTCTTCCTTCCATCCACTCATTGCCTTCTCTCCAAAGATCTGCTCAGAGAGTATTTCATTCTTCCCTATGTCCCTGTCTCTTGATGGGAGATGTTCCTCCTGGCTGTGCTTAGCCGGCCGTCTTGGCTCCCCAGCCGCATTTTTATAGGATAATTAATTAGAAGGGCAGTATAGTTTTAGACTGAGACCAGTCTAATTTATAACATCTCTGTTCACATACTTTCTGGCTGTGTATATCCTTGGGCAAGTGGCTTTATATCATTAAGTTTTATATTCTTCTCCAATTGTAAAAGCAGGTGAGTTGTCACTTAATGGGGCTAATGTAGAAATTAAATAAGATAAATGTCAGTTGCAAACCAAGGGTCTGAAACATACTAGATGTTAAACTGATGGTTTACTAGTATTGGTGATGGTATCTAGTTTTCAAGCACAATAGAGTGGAATTTTGGTTTATAAACCAAAATTCTGTTAAGAAACAGTATTTTTAAGGCTATTCAGCAGAGACAATTTTTACCAATTTCATCTATATTTTAAATTTAAATGTTTCTTTTATTTTGAAATAATTTTTCGCAAGGCTTTGCTTTTCAAATGTAAATGTTTAATCTTTTAAACACATTGGCTCTCTGGGCACCTAAAACTCTCTTCACTATCGACACTTTAGGATTTACTGGCCATGCTGTTGCTTCTGTTTTAATTTGCAATAGAGCACTTGTATAAATGTACTTTGAAATGTTTGGAAAGTTGTGTATGGACTGGAAAAATGCATGCGAGATGTTCCTTTGCTTTGTATATTGTGAAAGGGAGGATTTGTACATGCTTTGTTGTTGTTGTTACATACGCTAGTTTACTGTTTTGAACATAATTTGTTTACTACTTTGAATTCCCTATTTGATGGAAGTGAAATGTGATCTTGCTGGACAGTAGAAGGAAAGACTGCCTGTATTTCATGCTCATACCTACTAAAGCATCAGACTGTTTCATATTTAAGAGCAGTTTAAAAAGCACGTGAGGGTCTTCTTAATCTTAATTCTAGTGTCTTAAAAAATGTATGTGGAGATTATATGTTTTTGAGACACTATAATTAAGGTCAAGAAGGGAGGTAATTTGCATTCCCCTTGAAAAAGCTTTGATACCAGCTCTGGGGACTGAGGGGCATTGTCAGTGAGAGGGCCCCACACAGAGGCTTCTATGTCTCCAGCCTGCAGCCTGGAGAACTATGAAGACTTCTGTTTAGCCTCACACAGAGGAAGGCAGAATAAACAAACTGAAATGGCCCAAACAAGCTACTGGGTTTTTCCCTAGACTTAGGGTAAGGAAAAGGATCAGGCACTGATTTGACAAAAAAAAAAAAAAAAAAAAAAAAAGTGAGCATACAGAAAAATATTTATAGGACACTCTATGCCATGCTCCTGGTTCACTGCAGATTATCAATCAGTGGAAAGTGATAGAAGCAATGGATCAGCAGAATGGGTATAGAGGTAAGACAGCAGTTGCAGCAGCAGTGGTGCTTGGCTCTGGTAGGGCTGGTGGAGCAGGGTTGCTGTATTAGAAGAGTCAGGACTTGTTCATATGTCTGTCTCTCCCTCTCCCCCAGATCATAGCTGAATACCCAGCCCTGGACTTTGCAGATAATAAGTGTAGCAAATATTTTTTAAAACATTTATCAGCATCATTTAAATTATTACAAAAGTTTATAAATTGAATCCTATATAGTGCATTGTTCCCCTTAACTATTTCTGATTATATATCATCTTGTTATTTTAGATATTGAAGAATTTATCCCTCATGTTTCCTCAATTTTGTGTGTGTATGAGTGAGGAACCACAAAAGTGTTTTCCTAAAAAAATACTTGCTAATATTCTGCTGTGTGTTGTATTTTGGTCCTAATGTTGAAAAACAAATATCCTCAAATGACCTCAAATCTTGCTACCTAGGGAAGGAAATAGTGGCTTTTGGGAAATCAAGAACTTTTGAATATAAAAAAGTACCTAGAAGAATAAAAGGCACATTCCTTTATGTATCTTATTAGGCTTTCTTTTTTTCCTAAGTAGTAAAACAATCATTAGTTTCACTGAGTATTTTGGACAGCATATTAGAAATTTGAAGTACCAAGTTTACTATTCTTTACTGGAGATTGTCCAGCAGAGGAAAGCAAATACCAGTGGATGTGTGGAAGCATTTTCTGATCTTTAACACGTACACCTGCTATACCTAACAGCCTGCTCAGAAGAAGGTTCTATTTCTAGATGGTAAATGAGAGCTTCCCAGTGGACCATTATTTTATCATGAGTGGTAGTGGGAGGAGGGACAGCGTTTGGACATGAGGGAATTATCATGTATGCCATCATATCATTGCTAGGTCATTTATCTCTTGTCTAGCCAAGTTCACGTTAAATTCTACTAGGTTAGCACTTGAGGTCATTTAACAAAACTGCTGTTTATTAAGAATGGGAGACATGTTCTTCTTTGAATCCTGCAAGAGGTGGTTGCTGAAAATAATAGGAACCATATCTTCATATTTTAGGCAAAAGTCACTTTTAAGAAGCTTTGTGATAAATCACCTAGAGAAGCCAGTGAATTATGCCCTAATGGTTGGAATGAGACAAGTTTTCTAATAGTGATGACAATTATTAATTACTAATCACAAGTATGTGTGTGGTGGGAGTGAATCTCAAAGCTATAATAAAAGGAAATTTGTGCCTTTTTGCATAATGAATGAGAAAAGTCTCTTTAAAAGAGCAAAGAAAACTATTAAATTATAAAATTGTTGAATTTCTTGTCACAACCTTTAGAAACTCTATAAACTCATCTAAAACCCCAATTCACTGTAGTGTGAAAAATAGATACATATTCAGAGTGATCATTTATCTTGAATTAAAATTAAGCATCCGAGTCATTACAAACTTATCTCCTGCTTATGGACATGCTGACATAAAAGTATTTAAAACTTCTGAGTAGAAAAGGATATTAATGATGCAAGGATAGGCCAGAAAATGAATACACTTCTTACTAAGGAAATAATGATTGTTATTCAAGCTGCAAAACCTAAACATGGAAAGGAAGGTAAACTGGCGTTTATTAAAAATCTTTCTTTATTTGTTTGCTAACCTCAGTCCTAGTTGTATTCACATTTGTTACTTTGTTTAATCCCCCCAATAATCCTTAAATGTAGATATTACAACAACTTTACAGATGATGAATTAAAGTTTGCTAAACATTGAATTAATTTGTAATCAATCACGTAACTGCTGAATGCTAGAGTCTAAACCCTAGCCTAGGCAAACATGCCTCCAAACCCCCTCCATTTTCCATTATACCAAGCTGTGTGGAACTGAGTACTCCCTGTTCATGTCTGCCATTAGCTATTGAGCATTATGGTAGGCAAAATAATAGACCCCCTGGCCAAAGATGTCCATGCCCTAATTTCTGGAGCCTGTAATAATGAAGTGATGGACCTTGAGGTGGCAATACTATCCTGGATTATGTAGCTGGACCCAATGTAACCACAAAGTCCTAAAGATAGAAGAAAGAGTCAGCAGAGTCACAGTCAGAGGAGTCAGGACAGAAGCAGAGGTTGGAGTGATGTGATTGTTGGCTTTGAAGGAGGAGACCATGAAACAAGTGACTTCTGTAAGCTGGAAAAGACAAGGAAACAAGTTCTTCCTAAAGCCTCCAGAAGGAATACAGCCCTGCTGACACCTTGATTTTAGCCCAGTGAGACGCATTTTGGGCTTTTGACTTCCAGAACTATAAAATAGATTTGTGTTGTTTTAAACCACGAAGTTTGTGGTACTATCACAGTAGCAAGGAAACTAATACAGGCATCTTAACAGTTGCTAGCTGCAGTGAATTTTTCATAATTTTTGTGAATTTTCAGATGTGGCTTTGCTTACTATCATTTCTGTAATCCTGGTCTCATAGTGCCACCTGAAAATGTTGAGAAACGTAATTCAGTCATAGGTTTCAGATTTGAAGAGCAATTAAACTATATATGAGGGTTCTCATATAAGAAGTAATTGGGTTCCTTTATTTCAAAGCAGAATATCAAAAGAGAGTCAGAAGGATTTGACATGTTTGATGTAGAAAACTTTATTATTATTGTTATTGTTTTGGTTGTGGTTATTTTTCACTGCACCTTCCTCAGCACTCTAAGTCCAAAAGAGCCCTTTTTCAAAATTTCATCTTTTTCTTGTTAATAATAGAGATCTCTGTGCCTCTAAATGGTGTTTGGTCAGTGAGTTTTGTAATCTTAAATGGCAGAAATGTCATGACATGTAATTTTGTGAGAAAAGGATACTTACCCCTCCTAGCCTTTACATAAGTGAAATATAGTAAATGCTCTTAAAATAATTGTACATTTTCTTGTGAGAAATAACATTCCTTGTACTTTATGAGAAAAATATGTGTAAAGTTGCACATCATAGAAGATGCAGATTTTAATATCCAGTGTATTTCAGCAGTTTGGTATCAGAAAAGTGCACTGAGCTAGTGTTAAATAACTTTTTATTAGAATGTCCTCTCTATTGTTAAGTTGCCACATTATATGAGGAAACTCACTTCAGTTTTTGTGCCTTGGTTTCGTTGTTGTAAAATGGAGAGAATGGTACCTGTTTTGTTATTCCATTTAAAAAATCACTTGATATAATATAAGTGGCAGTGCTTAGAAAGGAATAAAAATAGTTACACCAATGCTAGGTGGTGTTTTTGTTTTTACTAAGAAAGTCCCTGAAGTCACCCTGCTCTCCCCACCACATACATACACAGACACACACATACACACATGTACACGTGTCAGGTCTAACAATGAAATACCCAGTTAAGGCATTTTGATTCCATGAAAGGATAAAATAACATTTAGTAAACAGCCTAAGTATTAATTAAAAAGTTATTCAATCTTTTGATATAAGTTCCACAAATACCTTCAATCAGAATTTATATTAATTTTTCAGTGTTCCCAGAGCTGAAATGATTATCACCTACTAAGGCAAAGGAAGAAAACAGCGTATTATGGGAGTCAAGCCAACTTTGCAACTTGCTGTGACTTATTATATTGGGTTATTTCCCCTGTTGCCACAAACAATATTTGTCAAAAGGGATAAATGCTCATTTTATAAATTTGTTGTCCTAAAGTTTAAACTGAAAAATTAACATAAGTGCAGTGGTCTCTGAAGTAGGGGTTTGTGCACCCCTGAGGGTGCAGGGGAAGGAAATTTTCTCTCTGTATATGTTTCTTTTTTGGCCGGGCGCCGTGGCTCACGCTTGTAACCCCACCACTTTGGGAGGCCGTGGCGGGCGGATCACGAGGTCAGGAGATCAAGACCACGGTGAAACCCCGTCTCTACTAAAAATACAAAAAATTAGCCGGGCGTTGTGGTGGGCGCCTGTAGTCGCAGCTACTCGGAGAGGCTGAGGCAGGAGAATGGCGTGAACCCGGGAGGCGGAGCTTGCAGTGAGCCGAAATCGCGCCACTGCACTCCAACCTGGGTGACAGAGCGAGACTCCGTCTCAAAAAAAAAAAAAAAAGTTTCTTTTTTCGTATCTGTAAATTATTATTTGCAACTTTATTTCTGCTTTGGGTTTGTTTTATAGTATATATAACAAATTGGTATATAGTATGTCTATATAATTTATAATTTATAAATATGTAAATATTAGGGCTACTACTCAACAGTATGGTGATGGTGTTTGCACAGTGAAAAAATGTTTCAAGAATACTACAATAGTGAAACAGTACACAGAATTTAAATATGACTTCATAGGCACTACTACTGAAGTTTAGAGAAAAAGAATTCATTGACCCATTTGACAAATTCTGATTGTCTACTATAAGCCAGATAATCTGCATTTTGTCACTGTCCATGCAACAGTTCTCTGAGGCAGGTATCTTCATTTTGTGTTCATGAAAACTGAGGCTTAGGGAAGTAAAGTAACCCAGCTAAGGTCATGTAACTCATAAAGGATGCAGCCAAGTCTCAAATCCTTATCTGTTGGACTTCAAAGGTCAAATTCCCAACCCCATTCTCACCTGCCTCCTACTCTGCTGAATAGCTTAGTATGAGAGCAAAGGTTGTGATATGGTTAGGCTCTGTGTCCCCACCCAAATCTCATCTCGAATTTTAATCCCCATAATCCCCATTTGTCAGGGGAAGGACCTGGTGGGAGGTGATTGAATCATGGCGGTGGTTTCCCCCATGGTGTTCTCATTGTAGTGAGGGAGTTCTCAGGAGATCTGATGGTTTTATATGGGGCTCTTTTTCCTTCACTCCCTTTTTCTCTCCCCTGCTGCCTTCTGAAGAAGGTCCTTGCTTGCCCCTTGCCTTCTGCCATGATTGTAAGTTTCCTGAGGCCTCCCTAGCCATGTGCAACTGTGAGTCAATTAAACCTCCTTTCTTTATAAATCACCCAGTCTTGGGTATTTATTGCAGTGTGAGAATGGACCAGTACAGGAAATTGATACTGCAGAGAGTAGGGTACTGCTATAAAGATACTTGAAAATATGGAAGCAACTTTGGATAACAGGCAGAGGTTGGAACAGTTTGGAGGGCTCAGAAGAAGACAGGAAGATGTGGGAAAGTTTGAAGCTCCCTAGAGACTTGTTGAATGGACTTTACCAAAATGCTGATATGATGTAGACAGTGAAGTCCAGGCTAAGGTGGTCTCAGATGGAAATGAGGAACTTCTTGGGAACTGGAGCAAAGGTCACTATTGCTATGCTTTAGCAAAGAGACTGTCGGCATTTTGCCCCTGCCCTAGAGACCTGTGGAACTCTGAATGTGAGAGAGATGATGTGAAATTGGAACCTATGTTTAAAAGGGAAGGAGAGCATAAAAGTTTGGAAAATTTGCAGCCTGATGATGCAATAGAAAAGGAAAACCCATTTTCTGGGGAGACGTTCAAGCTGCCTGCAGAAATTTGCATAAGTAACAAGGAGCAGAATGTTAATTGCCAAGACCATGGGGAAAATGTCCCCAGGGCATGTCAGAGATCTTGGTGGCAGCCCCTCCCATCAGAGGCATGGAGGCCTAGGAGGAAAATATGGTTTCATGGGTCGGCCCGTCACTATGTGCAGCCTTGGGACTTGGTCCCCTGCATCTCAGCCATGGCTAAAAGGGACCAAGGTACAGCTCAGACCATTGCTTCAGAGGGCACAAGCTCCAAGCCTTGGAGGCTTCCATGTGATGTTGGGGCTGTGGGTGCACAGAAGTCAAGAATTGAGTCTTGGGAACCTCCTCCTAGATTTAGAGGATGTATGGAAATACCTGCATGTCCAGGCAGAAATTTGCTGCAGGGTTGGAGCCCTCATGGAGAACCTCTGCTAGGGCAATGCAGAAGGGAAATGTGGGGTCGGAGCCCCCACACAGAGTCCCCACTGGGGCACTGCCTAGTGGAGCTGTGAGAAGAGGGCCACCATCCTCCAGACCCCAGAATGGCAGCTCCACTGACAGCTTGCACTGTGTGCCTCGGAAAGCTGAAGACATTCAATGCAAGCCCATGAAAGCAGAGAGGGGGACTGTACCCTGCGAAGCCACAGGGGTGGCTGCCCAAGGCTATGGGAGCCCACCTCTTGCATCAGTGTGCCTTAGATGTGAGACATGGCGTCAAAGGAGATCATTTTGGAACTTTAAGGTTTAATGACTGCCTTGTTGGATTTCAGACTTGCATGGAACTGTAGCTCCTTTATTTTGGCCAATTTCTCACTTTTGGAACGAGTGTATTTACCCAATGCTTGTACACCCATTTTATCTAGGAAGTAACTAACTTGCTTTTGATTTTACAGGCTTATAGGTGGAAGGGACTTTCCTTGTCTTAGATGAGACTTTGGATTTGGACTTTTGAGTTAATGTTGGATTGAGTTAAGACTTTGGGGGATTGTTGGAAGGGAATGATTGTGTTTTGAAGTGTGAGGACGAGATTTGGGAGGGGCCAGGGGCAGAATTATATGGTTTGGGCTGTGTCCCCAGCCAAATCTCATCTCGAATTGCAATCCCCATAATCCTGGGAGGGACCTGGTGTGAGATGGTTGGATCCTGCGGTTGGTTTACCCCATGATGTTCTCATGATAATGAGTGAGTTCTCACAAGAACTGATGGTTTTATAAGAGGCCCTATCCCCTTCACTCTCTTCTGTCTCCTGCTGCCATGTGAAGAAGTCCTTGCTTCCCCTTTGCCTTCCACCATTATTGTAAGTTTCCTGAAGCCTCCCCAGCCATGTGGAACTGTGAGTCAATTAAACCTCTTCCTTTATAAATTACCCAGTCTCAGGTATTTCTTTATAGCAGTGTGAAAATGGACTAAATACAGGTTGGAAATGTTAACTGGTTTTTAAAGTCAGTATGACTGGAATTTGGTGAGTAAATTAGCATGACGTTTTATAGATGTTAATTTCAAAAAGAAAAAAGAAAAAAAATCCTGGACACATCTGGATGAGTTATCCCATGCCATGTCCTTGAGATTTAGGAGATTAATAAGCAGAGCCAAGCTGGTGCATCTAAAAGATTTGACTTGAACTCAGAGACAGATAGCATAGCTAATTTCAGCTGGAAGCTTCTTAATCTCCAGGGTTCTTACCCAATGTTTTGGCTACCATAGGGAATGCCCTCATCATTGGGAGAGTTGCTGCCCTTCTCTAACTATAGTTTGAGGTTTGCTGGTAGCATTCCATTCTGGAGAGGGACTGATGGAACAGATAATGCCAAATACAGAACAAAGGTGAGGAGTCAGGCAAGGGTTAGGTGGAAAAAAGGATGGAAGACAGAGAAATAAATGGTACCATGCAAAGGAGCCAGGGTCTTCTAATCTTGAAGTTGTGATAGACAAGCCAGACTATTCTGGAAATTATAGAAACAAGAGTGTGGCAGAGATGGCCAGCCAATTTAGGTTTCTCTTTTGGGGATATGGCTTGGAAATTCTTCTCAGCCAGTGACTTCACTTTCCAGTCCCACTTGTATCTAGGTGGGGCCATATGACTAGCCCTTGCCAGGAGGGTATGACTAGAAGGACACAATGGTTATGAAACAGAGGTACCTGTTCCACAGTCTCTCTTTCTCATCTACAAGCCAGATGGAATGGCAGCAGAGGACCTAGAGGAATGCAGAGCCCCGTGATGGAAGGAACCTGGGCCCCAAGTGATCATGTGGATGATGGCTTAACTAGGAATACACACACTATGCTGTGTCATGAGTGAGTGAAGTCACTGGGAATTTGGGTTTTATCTATTATAAAACTGCCTAAGATTTTAATGCCACATTACCTTAGTTAATACAAAATCATTAACAGACTCAACAAGTGGATGAAACTAGGACAGTGTGGAAACTAGTTATTGATGCAGTCAAAAAGAGTACAGTAAGTATAATTAATATTGAATCGAAACTTTTTTCAATGCTACATACTTCTAAGGAGAAAAAAAGAAACAGAGAAAGCATGGAATGTAAAAACACAACAGAAGATGACAGATATTAGACCAAATATTTTAGTAATCACAAAATATGTGAACTGATCAAAGGCATCTGTTGAAAGATACAAACTAAGATTTATTAAAAATATCAATTTGGCCAGGCACGGACACCAAGGCAGGCGGATCGCCTGAGGTCAGTAGTTTGAGACCAGCCTGGCCAACATGGTGAAACCCTGTCTCTACTTAAAAAAAAAAAAAAAAAATTATCTGGGCGTGTTGGCGCACTCCTGTGATCCCAGCTGCTCAGGAGGCTGAGGCAGGAGAATAGGAGAATCGCCTGAACCAGGGAGGCAGAGGTTGCAGCGAGCCGAGATCACACCACTGTGCTCCAGCCTGGACGACAGAGCAAGACTCAGTCTCAAAAAAAAAAAAAAATCAATCCAAGTATATTTATTAATAAAGAAATGTACCTCAGAAAAAATATTAGTCAGATGCTAACAAAAACATATGTGTAACAATATTAATATGCTATAAAGTAGAATTCAAGATGAACAGAATTGGAAGGGAGAAAAAGTAGAAATTCTATGCTGGCCAAAGTAACAATCTATCAGATGACAGTTATGAACCTATATTCACTTAACAAACCTTCAAAATATGTTAGGAAAATGATAGAATCATAAGGAGAAATTAACAAATTCTCAATCAGTTGGAGATTTTTAACATTCTTCTCTCTGAAACTGACAGATCATATAGATTTTTTTAAATGTAGACGGAAGATATGGATAGTACACATTCTCAGCACACATGAAACAATTACAAAAATGATAGTTAAGTAGGTTGTTCTGATCAAGTACATAATTGGACATAAAGGACTCATTAAAATCAGAAATCTGTAACAAAATTGATAATCTAGCCTCCTCCTATCATATACTTGCAATTGTAAAAAATACTCTTAAAAGTCTATGAGATAAAAGGAAAACAAATATAGAAATTACAAAATATTTAAAACTGAATACCAGAAAAAAGCAGCGTTCTTAATATGGACTTGAAGAAGTATAGTTATAGCCTTTTTGCAATTTGCGTTCCTTGGGAAGTAGACTCTGAGACAGAGATTAGTGTGAAGAGCCCTTGGACCCAATAACTGCAGAAGGGAGGTAAAGAAGGCAGGAAGGAGAAGTTGGTCTTCAATGCAAGCCCAACGACAGCCTCAGTGGACTCCACAGGGAACACAGGAGCTAAAATGTTTTTCAGAGTTGGCCAGTGTGATTAGGACTTATATTCTTGCAAAGATTAGTCACTGGATGTGGGCCACCCCGGTAAGGTGTGGGACTTCGGGTGAAGCACTCACAGTAGCTGAGTCAATCCCTGAAAAGGCTGGCAGGTGAAGTCGGTCTGCCCACAGTTCTCTCAGCAGCTAGGAATGAAGAATTCTTCATTAAAGAGGGATCTGAGTGGCACATCAGTGTCCTCTCCAAACCTTGGTGCATTTATTTAAAAATAGGAGACATCCAAAATAAGAGCTATGCTTTCAACCGTAATAAAATAATTGGAAGTAAATAAGCATAAAAGCAGACATTCATGAAACAGCAAAAAAATTTTTATACTATTTTCTTTTTTTGAGACGGAGTCTCCCTCTGTCGCCAGGCTGGAGTGCAGTGGCGCGATCTTGGCTCACTGCAATCTCTGCCTCCCGGGTTCAAGCCATTCTCCTACCTCAGCCTCCCAAGTAGCTGGAACTACAGGCGCCCATCACCACTCCCGGCGAATTTTTTTTTTTTTTTTTTTGAGACAGAGTCTTGCTCTGTCGCCCAGGCTAGAGTGCAGCAATCTTGGCTCACTGCAACCTCTGCCTCCTGGGTTCAAGCAATTCTCCTGCCTCAGCCTGCCAAGTAACTGGGATTATAGGTGCCAGCCACCGTGCCAGGCTGATTTTTGTATTTTTAGTAGAGACAGGGTTTCACCGTGTTGGCCAGGCTGGTCTCAAACTCCTGACCTCATGATCCACCCGCTTCGGCCTCCCAAAGTGCTGGGATTACAGGCGTGAGCCACTGCACCCAGCCTATACTATTTTTTAAAAATACAAATTATTTAGATAAACTTTGACCAAATTATTCAAGAATTTCAAAAAAAGAAATACAATATAAAAAATGAAAAAAGGTGTTATCTAGAGATGAAAATAATGATTACCAGAAATACTATAGAAACTCTATGCCAATAAACTTCAAAATCTTGGTAACAAGTTTATAGAAAAATGTAATTATCAAAAGTGGGCCTATTTTGTTGACAAAATAAGCACACATTTTGTCAGAAAGGCAATGGGCCTAGATTTTTTTCCTACTAGTACTATCAACTCTTTACTTAATAGCTGATTCCTATATTACATAAACCTGTTCTAAAGTCCAGAAGAAGATGGAAAGCCACACACCTCATTTTATAAGACTAGCATAATGAGAACCATATCTCAATATAGATACAAAAATTATAAATAAAATACAGCCAAGTTCAATAATCAGTTTCCAGTCCTCATTTTCCTCAACGCATCAGCATCTCAGTCACTTCCTATTTCTTCCTTGAAACATTTTCTTCACTTGACTTTGTTCCACATTCTCCAGGTTTTCCTCCCACTTGCTGGCTGCCCCTTCTGAACCTTCCTTGCTAGTTTTTCCCAATCTCCCCAGCTTCTTAAAATTACAGGACTGACCCAGGTTCAGTCCTTCCACCTTGCTGTCTCTATTAGCTTCCATGGTGATCTCACAGGATCTCACACATACATGTATTCCTATATGATGATGTATTATATAGGGTAGTATATATGTATTCCTATATGATAATGTATTAGAGTCCTCCAGAGAAGCAGAACCAATAGGTTGTATATATAGAGAAAAAAAGATTTATTATAAGGAGTTGGCTCATACGATTATGGAGGCTGACAAGTCCCAAGATCTGCATTTGGCAAGCTGGAGACCCAGGGGAGCCAATAGTGTTGGGTTTTTTATTTTAACTTTTACTTTAGGTTTAGGGGCACATGTGCAGGTTTATTACGTGGGTAAATTGTGTGTCACTGATGTTTGCTGTATGAATGACCACATCACCATGTAGTGAGGATAGTACCCAACAGGTAGTTTTTCAACAATGGTGTAGTTTTACTGTCAGCCTGAAAGCCTGAGACCCAGGAGAGCCGATGATGTAGTTTCTGTTGGAAAGCTGGCAGGCGTGAGACCCAGAAAGGGCTGATGTTTCAGTTCAAGCCTGAAGATGGCATGTCCTAGCATGAAGACAGTCAGTAGAGGGAATCCCCTCTTTTTCAGTCTTTTGATTCTATTCAGGCTTTCAGTTGACTAGATGAGTCCCATCTACATTAAGGAGGACAATCTGCTTTATTCAGTCTACTGATTAACATGTTAATTTCATCCAGAAACACCTTCACAGACATACTAGAGTAATGTTTTACCAAATATCTAAACACCTGTGGCAAGTCAAATTGGCACATGAAATTAACCACCAGAGATGATGACTGACAAATTTATATTTCCGAATTGGACTTCCCCTAAAATTGTGAAATCATATATCCAACAGCCTGCTTATCATCTCTAGTTGGATGTTTAAGAGGCATCACAAATCCAATGTGTCCTAAATCAAACTTCCAGTTTTCTCCCACAAAACTGCTTATTGCACAGTTTTTTCAATTTCAATTAATGGCAACTGTCCAGTTAATGCAGGCCGCAATTATCTGTGTCATCCTTGACTCTATTTTCTTGCATCCAGACTGCTGGCAGGTCCCCATAGCTGGACCTTCAAAACATATCCAGACTCCAGCCACTTCTAGTACTACCACCCTGGTCTAAACTACCATTATGTTTTGCCTGGAGTTTTGCAGTATCCTCCTAGTCTGTTTTCCTTCTTCAATCCTTGATGCTTTGGAGTCTGTTTCAATACTGCAGCCCCAGTGAACCCACTGAAAACACAAATTGGATTGTCATTTCTGCTCAAACCCTATGACGGTTTCTACTCTTATGCAGAATAACAGCCAGAGTCTTTAAGGGTACATGATTCTACATCATCTGTCATCCCTCCTACAACTCTCAACCTCCGTCCATTCCAGTCACACTGCCCTTCTTGCTATTCCCTCAGACAGGCACCTGAGAATCTTTGCACAGCTGTTTCCTCTGCCTGGATTACTCCTCTAGATAGCTACATGACTTCCTTCCTTGCCCTCTGCAGGTCTTTGCTCAAATACTGTATTACCTTCTCAGAAAGGAGGACTCTAATTTTACCTGTGATAACACCTAATTTTTTTTTTTTTTTTGAGATGGAGTTTCACTCTTGTTGCCCAGGCTGGAGTGCAGTGGTGCGATCTCAACTCACTGCAATCTCCGTCTCCCAGGTTCAAGCGATTCTCCTGCCTCAGCTTTCCAAGTAGCTGGGATTACAGGCGCCTGCCACCACACCTGGCTAATTTTTGTATTTTTAGTAGAGATGGGGTTTCATCATGTTGGCCAGGCTGGTCTCGAACTCCTGACCTCAGGTGATCCATTGGCCTCAGCCTCCCAAAGTGCTGGGATTATAGGCATGAGCCATGGCGCCCAGCCCTGATCACCTAATTTTTAAAGAAGACTTGTATTAGTTCATTTTCATACTGCTATAAAGAAATACCTGAGACTGGGTAATTTATAAAGGAAAGAGTTTTAATTGACTTACAGTTCCACATGGCTGGGGAGGCCTCAGGAAACTTACAATCATGGCATAAGGCGAAGAGGAGGCAAGCACTTTCTTCACAAGGTGGTAGGAGCGAGAAGAGAGCAGGGGAAACTGCCACTTATAAAACCATCAGATATCATGAGAACTCACTGACTGTCATGAGAACATCATGGGGGAAACCGTCTCCACAATCCAATCACCTCCCACCAGGTCTCTCCCTTGACATGTGGGGATTATGAGGATTACAATTTGAGATGAGATTTAAGTGGGGACAGAGATCCAAACCATATCAACTATATTCATATATTACTAAATACATATAATTTAGAAATTGTAAAGACAAAAAAGCCACAATTTAGGTTTTTTAAAACATTTGAAGGCATAGGACTGGTTAGCAAAAGATCTTTCCCCTCTGGGGTTTTGGATCATATTTTTTCAGCATTGACAATCTATAAACTATAAGCTGACAATCTATAAACTGAATTTATAGATACACTTGTAAATATAAAACTGATCAGTGTAACTTCTTTCAATTTCACAAGTAAAACTGATTTTCTTTAAAACTAAATATATATTTTTTGTTTTTATCCTTACAGAAGCTGCTGTGGGGGTGGGAAACACAAGGGTCACTGTCTCTGTTTTCTTTCTACACATGACAGTATGGCATTACTGATGCTGAGATTCATTTAAAATCCAGGGCAACAAGGATTGTACCCATTCCTTAACGTAGAATTTCTTGAATTCTTAGTGGATGCATACTGCTGAAATGGAGATTTAATTGTAAGTCCCAAAGACTTGTCACCCAGCAGGCTTTTCACTGTTTTCTCAGATCCAGCTGGCCTAGTTCTACATGGATAGTATCACCTGAAGCCACTAGAGAACTAGGGGCCAGGAAAATCCTTGGCTAACTAATTGGGAACCTAATGTGGTAACTGTGGTCTCTCTTCTCTTCAACTTGTAACTCTCTGGAGATATTAGAATCTGGTTCAGAAGAGAGTCCTGAAAAGCTGCAATAGGCTCTTCTTGTCTTGTCCTAAAGCAATTGTGACTTTTGAAAAATGTGTGAAAAAATATAGTCCAAGGAGCTGTAGAAATTGACAAAAAATCATCCAGAGATGAAAATGTGCTTAATTTGTCACCTAAATCATATTATACTGTTGTCTGTGAGTAGAAGTTGGCATTGTCCACTTTGTGTCTGATGATTAATCATTTAGGTAGTATCTGTTAGGAAGAGGACTCAAGAAATAGCTTCTAATTTTAGTCAGAAAAAGTAGCACTATTAATAGCGGCCTTGACATTCTGCAAAGCCAAATTAAGCAGTCAACCTGGCATTTTATAAACGGGCTGTTACAGAGCCTCACATCTGGTAGATATTCGATAAGCATTAATTGCCTGGCTGACTATGAGCAGCCACATAGCTGCTGTAATAGAGTCTGCACATGGTGGTGGGATAAGGCTGATTCTGATGTACTGTGGGACAGGACCTTGTGAACATGAAGAAGTATGTGGGTTTTTGTTGTTGCTTTTTTTTTTTTTCAAATTAAATGACTTCATAATTTCCTTTTGAAACTGAGCACATTTCATTAAAAATGGATTTCCTTTTGTCAATTCAAGGTAAGTTACCAGGTAACAGTGATATTGGTCAAATGTTACCTCTTTTTTAAATAGAAAGCTGAGAGCCTTCTAAAGAGCCATCATCATATTCTTCTTTAAAATTATTTGAATCAATGCCAGAGAAATTGTTAACATTTCAGTCATTCATTTAATTTTCATTATCGCGTTTATAATTAGTTCATTGTCTTCATTATAGTGAATGGATGGATAATGGTGAAGTCTGGTCTACATTTTATTCTTTTATTTAAACTGATTCACATCTAGTAAATGTAAGTATTATGAAGCTAGAAAAATAGTTTTAAAGTAATAATAATAGCTAACATTTTTTATCATTTACACTGTGACAGTCATTGTGCTAAGCCCCTTTATATGTATTTGTTTCAAATATATATTGAAATATCACTTTATTTTTCTGCCATATCTTTTCTATGCTTTTAAGATTATAACTTTTATGCTGTTTTATTTAAAGTAAAATTTGCATTCATGCTTATTTGATCTCAGGTATACGGTCAACCTCAGCTTCATCCAAAAGAAGACCACATGTTTAAAGGATAATAAAGCTGATGGAATTTTTAAACTCTTAAAAATTAGTGTTGAGCGAAGGCAGATGTTTTACAAAAGAGGAGAAGACATCTGATCCTGTGAGCCTGATGAATTGGTATAAAGAATTATTGGAATCTGTAGAAATGCCATGATTCTGTTTATCGTCTTTGTAAAAATCTGATTTGGAACGAATTGTCCATAGAGTGGGATGATCCAGCTGCTTGTTGAATCGGTTGCTTTTCATTAGCCCATCTGATGTTGACTGCATTCTGGGCTTGCATGCCTGAACTCCTGAAAGATTGAATTATCAGTATGCTTCTCACTCAGAGAGCTGTGACTCTAATGAGAGATTTTCATATCAAATCATTCATATCACTTTATAATCACAATACAAGTATTAGATGCTTTCTGATCCTGCTACAATTATGGGAATTAGCTAACTTCATGTGAAATTCCAGTAATAGATATGAATGCATTTCTCAGGTAGGCAATGAATATTCATCCTTCTGAGGTCAACTGTGGTTTGAAGAAGTGGAGGAGAGGAGGTCTGTAAGTCTAAACACAGCCTGATTCTGTTTGTCTTTCTTTGAATTGAAGGGCCTACCAGTTTCCCAGTTTATCTGGCAGTCTTTCCAACTTGAGAGGGAGGCACCTGAGTAGGCACAGAAGAATGGTGGTGAAGGCATGGGTTCAAGTCCCGACTCTCCCTCTTACCAGCTTTATCGCCTTGAACCGTTTGCTTAATTTCACTGGGTCTCATTTTCTCATGTTTAAAATGAGGTAATAGTAGTACCTGACTTCACAGAGTTGTGAAAATAAAACTTTAATTCAAGTAGGACTCTGACACAGGGCCTGCCACATGGTAAAAGCTGGGTAAACATGAGTTGCTATTGTCATTGTTCTCATTATCACACCAGAGCTATAGGGAGGCCCTAGAAGAAAAAACTATTTATCTTTCTTTTAATGATGGAGCAAAGCTCATTTCACCCAAGAGAAAATGAAGATCAAGATGGGTAATATGTAAAATATAATTATATAAATTTTGAGAAATAAATACATTATATATATATAAATGTTCATAGGATTAAAAGAAGTCCATCTAATTATTTTTTAAAAGGTGTTTGAAAGCTTGTGGATGATTCCTAAACCCTTTTGTTTCCCCATTTTTATAAGATGTAGAGACTTTGTGTTAGCCTGCATGGACAAAGCATCAAATGTGTTTGCAGAAAAAGTGAGCTTGATGGGAGGATTGCTTGAGCCCAGGAGTTCGAGGTTGCAGTGAGCTATGATCATGTCACTGTACCCTAGCCTGGGTGACAAAGTAAGACCCTGTCTCAAAAAAAAAAAAATTAACTCGAACATTTGGGAAGACTTGAACTCTTCATATTCATTGAGCTGACCTGTTCTTAGATTAGGAAGGTGCCAGGGAAATGGTTGCTTAGCAACTAATGGGGTTAAATGAAACAGTCTGTTAGCTGGGCTCTTGCCCTGTCTGTGTGCATGCCTAATAAAGGAGATGGTCTCCAGTGGGTATTGCTTGACTCACAGCTGTCAAACAAAAGTGATGAATAAAATGCAAGATCGAAGGGAGGGTCCACACCTGGACTGGGCATCTATATTTATGGTCATATACCTTCCTTTATGTTAGATGTTGAAGAAAAAGTTATTAAGAGAGGACATTAAAAATAAGAGAGGGACTGTTGAAATTGAGGGTTAAAATTTTAAGAGCGATCATTAGTTTACATTGAGTTTTAAGAGACTAAGATAATAAGTGATAACTGAGGAAATTCCACACTATTATCTTCAACATTCTTCTAAAAAATTCTCTATAGAAAAGGGATAACAGGGCTGGGCGTAGTGGCTTACACCTGTATTCCCAGCACTTTGGGAGGCCGAGGCAGGTGGATCATGAGGTCAGGAATTCGAGACCAGCCCGGCCAATGTGGTGAAACCCTGTCTCTACTAAAAATACAAAAACCAGCTGGGCGTGGTGGCGTGCACCTGTAGTCCCAGCTACTCGGGAGGCTGAGGCAGGAGAATCACTTGAACCGAGGAGGCAGAGGTTGCAGTGAGCCGAGATTGCGCCACTGCACTCCAGCCTGGGCAACAGAGGGAGATTCCCTCTCAAAAAAAAAAAAAAAAGAAAAAGAAAAGGGATAACAGATCTTATGGATGACATTGTGAATTCTAGGACAGAAATTGTGTGTTTTAGTACTTGTCTGCTCCTGGTCCCTATTTATACCCATGACAGACATTATGACTAGATCCTGACCACTCTCACTTGAGCTGGATGTGGCTTACAGCCCTCAACGGGGCTGCAGGAAGCCATTACCAATATCAGATTGGGCAGGTAAGAAACTTCCATGTCATTCTTTATGACAAATTGAAACTTGTTAAAAACTTCTACTTTTTGAATTCCATAGGAATATTCTGAATGATTTGTGTCAAAAGCAGCTTTGAGGTAGCCACATGAAATTCGTCTTAAGGAAAATTGATAAGAAGGAAATGGACCAGAGAAAATCAACCAAAATAATTGGGGGAAAAGGGAGACAGTGTGAAAGATTTTCCTGAAAGTTCTTACCACTGCCACCATTCACAAGCTTAGGATGATTTACTCTTTCAAAGACCATGTCCTTGAATCCACTTTCTTTCTTTTGAAATACCTTTTATTTTCTGTATAGTAAACACTCCCACCCCTCCAAATCTAGGGATCAGTCCTCCCATGCTGGGATTTGGACTCAGGCCTTCTGCCCAGCCTACAAAACTTCGAGCATTGGCTTCAAGCACTAACATTTTATGACTCCGAGAATTCAGATTAGATACTATTTCCAGTAGGAGACTCTAGAGCTGTTACTGTATATATTTGAAAGGCTATTAAGCAGAAAAGAGAGTGAACTCATTGACCTTCTCCTATGACCAAGGGGAGAAAGCTATCAAGAGGGTGATTGGAAGTCAATATTTTGAAGGTTTTACTAATATTTCTCCAGCAAGGGACAGCCTGTCATGAAAAATATTAGGTGTCTCATCACTTCAAGTATTCAAGTATGCAAGGAGTGCTGCAAGGCGGGGAGGACTGACTACCCCAGCTGTGCTTCTCAAACATTTATGTGCATGTGGTTCACCTGGGGCTTTCGTTAAAACTCAGCTTTCCCATCTAGTAAGTGTCGGGTAGGAGCCGAGATTCTATATTTCTTACAAGTTCCTTGGCAATACCAATGCTGCTATTCCAGGGACCACACCTTAAGTAGGGAAGGGCCAGTGATCTCTAAAGTGTTAACATTCCAAAATTCTATTTGCAGAAGAGAGGCTAGAGTTTAGTCTTGCTTCTTACACACACCCAGCACAGCTTTGAAAACCACACAGGAGTCTCTTCTGGTCTTAGAGAATTCTCCCTGAATTCCTATCATATTTTCCTCAGTAAAGAATCCCCCTCTCTGTCTCCTCAGTTGCTTCACTTCTTTCTGCAGGCTTTCAACCTTTTCTGATATCACTGTTCTCTAAATAAATTTCCTTTTTTCATATTTTCTCTGATCCATGCAGACTCTAATCACAACTGCTCAGTCATTCCTTCGTGCAAGCCCCAAATTCTGTCTTAGGACAGCTGTCAAAATTCAGGAAATCTAGGTTATGTCTCAGTTGGGGTGTCCTTAGAAGTTTGTGAAGAGCAGGATTGTGCCATTGGCTGCCATATGCGAGAGATCAAACAGCCTCTTCAATTAATTCGATTCATTCAATAATGGTTTAGCAAATGTATTCAATAAGAAAGCGTAAAAGTGCCATCCCTAAACATCTGAAAGAGGCAAATTTGTGATAGATAAAACAATGGACTTCTTTGTATGGTGGGTAGGAATGTATTGTGATCCCACGTTCAGGGGATACAATTAGAAAGTAACAGAACTACCAGAGGAATAAGGAGAACCATAGGGATCTGAGAGGGCAACCCAAGGCTGAAGTCAAATGTGTGGATGCCACTTTCCAGAAGACAGAAAGACTGGCAAGGACAAATTTTGTGAGTTACCCAACTGCATGGTGAGCAGCAGTTTCTGGCCTTCACAATTACCATAACTTTGGCTAAGAAACAACTTGATTTGTGTCCTTTTTTTATTCCACCCTTTCCTCTCCCAGAAGACCCAGGTCGTTGAAACATGGCCACATTCAAGAGGAGGAGAATTCTAAACAGACAGGATAAACCATAATGATGCTTGTTTTGAAGAGCTCATTATCACTGTATAGTTAATTTAGGAAGCAACTGTGCCAAGAGCAAAGCTGTGAAATGCAGCTAGATCCTTTAAATAAACAAGCTACATATTTGAAGATTTTAGAAAAAAAACAATATGTAACATAATTTTTAGCATATAAGATGGATCTTTATGTGGTTAAGGTGAGGGAAAATTGGTATTTTACAGATATTAATTTGTGTTGCCTAATTATATTTACAGTAATATAATTTTACTGTTTTAGTTTGTCTTGTGATATTTTATTCTCTGACAGTATTATTATACTATGGGAGGAAAAATTAAAACAATTGTAAAGAGGAAAGAAAACCACCAACCAAACATCCTCACTCTTTCATACCATTTAGCTCTCCAGGTGGATTGGGTTATTTTTTTCATTTGCAAGATAAAGGAGGTAAATAGTCCAATTTAACTGTGATTGGGACCCTCCTCTCCCTAATGGAAGGGAATGGACTATTGCAGTTAATTGAATGGTCTCATTAACTGAGATTTACTACCCATTCTATATGTGAGGTGTAACCAAAATGTAATAAAGGCTAATAACCATTAACACTAAATTGAGCAAAATGTAATCTTTGTTGATTCAGAAGTTAGTTCAAATCTCTGTAATGCCTCATGGCCATTGTAAACATCATTAATTATGTAACAGTGGGCATATAGAAGATGTAAGATGTAATGGATCTACTGTAATCATTGCGAGTTGCTCTTTTCAATGACTTCCTTAAACATGTCTTTTTACTTTCATTTAACTCTGTTTAATGCTTATAAAATGTAAGGGTTGAATGTACCTCCAAACAATTCAGTTATTTCACCTGTAAGATTATTTGTATTCTTGATAAAATGGGAGTCGCAGTGGTTTTGCCTGTGTTCAGAGTAACTCCAAAGCTGCACATAGTTTGCCAGGTAAAAAGATCATATTTTACCAGATGCTTTAAAAAGTCTATCATCTGCCATTTTACTTATCTATGAAGATGTAGTAGAATTTTTGTCAGTTTTGTGTCGTAAGGTACCACCCTAAAATGTAGCTGTAACTAATCTTGTGTCTGCATGACAAGTAACATGACTCAAGAAAACGTCACATACTGTGATTTTAGGACTCAATTTGCATCACTTCTGTGTGAAATAAAGAGGGAATAACACACCATAAATCCACACCTCCCTCTGTGGTAGGCACTTAAAGTGGATTATATACTCACAAACTAGGTTTTCAATTAGAAAGGTTTGTTGTTGGTGGCAGCACATTATCAGCCACAAATGAGCTGTGATGACTGTAAATCTCAGCCTGGCCGAGGCTCTCCCAAAGACAAAATCTTGTGAACCAAGCATGAGTCTGTGCAATGCTTTCATATTTCTAAGCAGAACTTTATCCCATGCTTTGGCAGAATGTTGTGACTTGATAGAGAACATTGACATATGTTCTTTTTTTTCTAAATGTCTAGCTTTGAACTCACTTGTGTTTCTCAAATGTTTAGCTTACAGTAGATGCTCTTTCTCTTTAGTTACGATTTTACATTTTGGTATCTAAAACACCTTACATGCAGAACATTTCTGTTACATAGAATGAATTCTTTTTGTTTATGACACTGTAGGGTGGTAGGACATCATCTGCAGATGAGTTTTGAAGATGATATTGGTTGATTCATTCATTTTCTGTATTTATTGCATGTATGCACTCCTAGAATCTGGGAGCACCACAGTGAGAAAAGGAGATATGGCACCTGCCTTCATGGAGCCTGCACTCTACCTTTTCAAGATGTTATATGCTTAAAAATATTACTGCTGGTCTCATCACCTCTTTTGCTGCCAAGGAGACTTTGACCTTCCTCCTGGTTTCTAGCAGGTCTCTGGACATTGTTTCACTAGTTTGGATAGACTAGGCAACTGGTGTTTCACTGTACCAAATGGCCAAGTTCTTCCTTATCACCAAGTGGTATCCAATGAGGCTCTTCCTAATTGAGATATCTTTTAAATGTATTATACCCAAGACATTGACCTTGATATAATAGTTCCCCTTTTTTAATCTTTAGATTAGTTCTAGTTTTTAAAAATTATAAGCATTAAGTTTTTAACATTTTTTTTTTTTGAGATAGAGTCTCACTCTTTTGCCCAAGCTGGAGTGCAGTGGTGTGATCATGGCTCACTGCAGCCTCAAACTCATGGGGTCAAGTGATCCTCCTGCCTCACCGTCTTGAGTAGCTGGGACTGCAGGTGCAGACCACCATGCTCAGCTAATTTTTTTTTATTGTTTGTAGAGATAGGGTCTTCCTATGTTGCCCAGCCTGGTCTCAAACTCCTGGCCTCAAGTGAACTTCTAGCCTCAGCCTCCCAAAGTGGTGGGATTATAGTCATGACCCACGGTGCCTGGCAATGTTAACTTTCTAAAACAGTATGATGTGATGTCAAAGTGGAAGTTCTGTATTTATAGAAGTGGTGGTGATGATTTTTATAATGGGGTCATTCCATAAAGTAGAAGTCTAGGAGTATGTTGCAAAAGTAAAGTCCTGAAGCCAGAGATAGGGATTTAGAGTGAGACTGTCATTTGGAAACTATTTGAAATGAATGGATTTAGTCAGCAGTTGAGTGGAGGGTGCTGTTTCTCAGCTCTCGTTTCAATTGGAGTCAAAGGGAGACATGGGACAGTAAGACCATCAACCTGGATTATAGCGACAGTTTCTATATAACATTTACTATGTGCCACATATTATGCCTAACATTAAGCATAATTGTATTTAAACCTATAACAACCCTGTGAAGTTGGTATTATTCCCATTTTACAGATAAAGAGCCTGAGGCTCAGAGAAGGTAACAAATTAGCCAAAGTTTCAAGATAAATTGCCCACATGACTAGTAGTTTATAGAACCAGATGTATCTTCCTGCATAGTTCTGAACATTAAAAATAAAGTTTTTAAAAGGGAGTTGTTTGAAATACATAAGTAATACATGTTCATTGCAGTGATCCAAAAGATACTTACGTAAACAGGATAAAATTAAGTCTCTTTTTTCCCTCTACAATCGTACTCTATAATATAGCAATTATAGATGCATTTAATTGTATTGATATAAAATGATTACCAATATGGTGTTCCTTTATTGCTCATACAAACGTGCAAATATAGATATACATTATTTAAGGAATTGTGTTTTCCTCCCAACTCTACTAACTCTCTGATGAGGATCCCTATTCTATGCCAGTGTTATCCTGATTACTTTTGAAAGACCCTAGAAATGTCGATTTTTAAAACTCCTTTGGCAGCCTATTTTGTTTTTTTAACCTTTGTTCTCAGGAAGTTTTTCCATTTCATTAACCCAGATCATTCTTCTGCAGTTTAAGCTATTTTGAGTCCTGCTGTATATACGGGATTGGTGGCAAGCAGGCCGTCAGCACATCAGGGGCAATTACAACTTGGAAGATCTGAAAAAAGAACTTGGTTGGTGTGGGGAATGTTAAAAACTTAACCACTCATGTAATAAAAAGCAGACACTGAAAACAACTGAAATTTCTTTCAGGTTCTTTCAAGGAGTTCAGAAGCAAATTCAACATTTTATAAACTAAAGGTTTTTATTTAACTGTGATCTGTTTTTTAATTTTGGAATTTCGGGTAATCTTCTGCAAATGCATAAACAAAATCTACTTAACTCTAAAGGCAATTTCCTGTTAGCTTTTTTTTTTTTTTATCTATAGCCACACTTGATTTAAAAAAACAACAACAGAAACTGGTGCTTCTCCTAACATATCAATCCTTTTAGCCAGGGAATACATAAAAGAAACTTCACTACATTTTATTGTTACCACAAAATATAAATTTTACTAAGAGCTTGCCATATGTCAGGCACTGTTCACTTTGTATGTATACTTAATAGACCGCAGTATAGTGTCAACATAACTTTTATATGTACTGGGAAACCAAAACATATGTCTGACTCACTGTATTATGATATTTGCTTTATTAAGTTGGTCTGAAACTAAACCCACCATATGCCTATATAAGTGAGATCATTCAATATTTGTCTTTCTGTGTCTAGTTTATTTCACTTAGCATAATGTCGTCCAAGTTCATCCATATTGTTGCAAATGGCAGGATTTTCTTCTTTTTTAAGGCTAAATAATGTTCGTATGTGTGTGTATGTCTCACATTTTCTTTATCCATTCATCCGTTGAGGGACATTAAGATTGTTTCCGTATTGTGGCTATTGTAAATAATGCTGTAATAACCATGGGAGTGTGGCTATCACTTTAAGATACTAATTTCATTTTCTTTGCATACATACCCAGAAGTGAGATTGTTAGATCATAAGCTAGTTCTTTTTAAATTTTTTTTAGTACCCTCTCTACTGTTTCCCATAATGGCTGTACCAATTTACATTACAACCAACAATAAACAAGGATTCCCTTTTCTCTACAACCTCACCAACACTTATCTTCTGTCTTTTTGGTAATAATTATTCTAACGGGTGTGAGGAGACCCCTCATTGTGGTTTTTACTTGCTTTTCCCTGATGATTAGTGATGTTGAGCATCTTTTTATATACCTGTTGCCCATTTGTATGCCTTCTTTGGAAAAATGTCTATTCAGATCCTGTGACCATTTTAAAATTCAGTTATTTAATTATTTATTTATTTTGCTATTGAATTTTGAGTTCCTTAAATATTTTGGATATTAACCCTTTATCAGATATATGGCTTGCAAATATTTTTCCCATTCTGTGGGTTGCCATTTTAATCTGTTGAATGTTTCCTTTGGTATGCATAAGGTTTTAGTTTGATGCAAGCCCACTTATTTTTGCTTTTGTTGCCAGTAGTTTGGTGTCTTATCCAAAAAATTATTGCTTAGACCAATGTCAAGGAGCTTTTCCCCTACATTTTCTTCTGTATTGTTTCAAGTCTTACATTTAAGTCATTAATACATTTAAGTTAATTTTTGCATATGATGTGAGATAAGGGTTCAATTCTATTCTTTGGCATGCGGATGTCAAGTTTTTCCTGCACCGTATATTGAAAAGCCTGTCCTTTCCCTATTGTGTGTTCTTGGCACCCTGTCAAAGATCAGTTTACCATAGATGCATGGATTTATTTCTGGGATATTCTGTTTGTTGGTCTATATATCTGTTTTTATGACAGTACTATACTGTTTTGATTACTGTAGCTTTGTAATATATTTTGAAATCAGGAAGTGTGATGCCTCCAGCATGTTCTTTTTGTTTAAGATTTCTTTGGCTATTCAGGGTCTTTTGTGGTTTCATTTGATTTTAGCATTTTTTTTTCTATTTCTATAAAGAATGCCACTTGAATTTTGATAGGGGTTGTGTTGAATGTATAGATCATTTTGGGTAGTATGAACATTTTAACACATTTTTTTCAATCCATGGACATGGATGTCTTTCCATTTTATCTGTGTCTTTGATTTCCTTCACCAATGTTTTATAATTTTCAGTTAACAAGTCTGTTACTTCTTTGATTACATGTATGCCTAAGTATTTTCTTTGTTATTGTAAATGGGATGGTTTTCTTAAATTTCTTTTTGATGACTTTCCTGTTTGTGTACACAAATACCACAGATTTTTGTATGTTAATTTTGCACCAAAAAACTTTGTTAAACTCATTTATTAGTTCTAACATTGTTTTTTGGTTGAATCTTCAGGGTTTCCTACGTATATAATCATGTTATCTGTGGAGGTAATTTCACTTTTTCCTCTCCCATTTGGATGCTTTTTATTTCTTTTTCTTGTTTAATTGCTCTGGGTAGGACTTCCAGTACTAAGTTGAATAAAAGCGGTCTCTCGTCTTCTCTTGCCATCTTCCTTTGTTATCTGATTATTTTTGTAGTATTTGCCTTGATTCTTCTCTATTTATCTTTTGTATATCTATTATAAGTTTTTTTCTGTGTGGTTACCTCAAGGCTGGCATAAAATGTCTTGTAGTTACAATGGTCTATTTTAAGTTCATAACAACTTAACTGCACACAGAAATTCCACACTTTTACCACCTCCCCCAAACTTTGTGTTTTTGTAGTCAGAGTTTAATTCTTTTTATATTGTGTATCCATCAACAAATTTTGGTCTTTTATCTTTTAAATGTTGGGGTAAAAGTAACTTACACACCACCATTACAGTGTTACATTATTATATATTTGTCTGTATATTTAATTTTGCCAGTGAGATTTATGTTTTCTTATGCTTTCACGTTACTGTTTAGCATGTTTTTGTTTTCAATTTGAAGAACCCCCTTAGCCATTTTGTGTAAAATAGGTCTAGGAGTGACAAACTCTCTCAGTTTTTGTTTCCCTGGGAAAGACTTTCTCTTTCATTTATTTTTAAAGGATAGTTTTGCCAGATATTGTATACTTGGCAGTTTTTTTCTTTCAGTATTTTGAATGTGTCGTCCCACTCTCTTCTGGCCTGCAACATTTCTACTAAAAAAAAATCCACTGATGTCTTATGGAGGTGGTTCCCTTATACATGACAAGTCACTTTTCTTTTGCTTCTTTCAAAATTCTCTGTCTTTAACTTTTGAAATTTAATTATAATGTATCCTGGTGCAGATCTCTTTGTATTCAACTTATTTAGGATTCTTTGGGGTTAATCAATCTGGATGTCCACTTCCTTCCCTGATTTAGAATGTTTTTGGTAATTATTCCTTTTCAATAATCTTTCTTCTCCTTTCTATTTCTCTTCTCTTTATTAAGCTTTCATAATCTATATCGGTTTACTTGATATTGTTCCATAAAATCCATAGGCTTTCTTTACTCCTTTTTATTCTTTTTTCTTTTTTGTCCTCTGACTGGATAATTTTAAACGACCAGTATTCAAGTTTACTAATTCTTTCCTCTGCTTGATCGAGTCTGGTATTGAAGTTCTCTGTCGCATTTTTTTATTTCATTTATTGTGTTCTTCAGCTTCAGAATTTGTTTGCTTCATTTTTGTGGTTTACATTTCTCTAACTTTCCCTTTCATTTATGTATTACATAAAATTTACATTTCTCTAACTTTCCCTTTTGTTTATGTATTACTTTCCTGATATTATTGAGTTGTCTATATGTGTTCAATGATAATTTCTTAAAACAATAATTTTGTCAGGCAATTCATAGGTCCCCATTTCTTTGGGATCATTACTGGAAATTATCATATTCCTTTAGTGGTGTTATGTTTCCCTGACATTTCATGTTCCTTGTAGCCTTGCATTGGTGTCTGAGCATTTGAAGGAGCAGTTACATCTTTCAGATATTACAGACTGGCTTTGGTGGGGAAGACTTTCACCTGAGATGTGATGATACCTGAGGTGTGATGATGGGTGGGGTGTGTGGTGGTTCTTAAATAATCACCTGAGGTGTGATGATGGGTGGGCTGTGTGGTAGTTCTGGGTCCAGTGCAAGTTGTGAGGAATGTGCAGGGGCACTGGTTTTGGGGATTGTGTGACACTGTCATGGTGCATGGGGGTGCCAGGTCCTGGTGCAGGTGTAAGACAAGTGACATCACACCCAGGTGTGGGCTCATGTGAAGCCGTACCGGGTGCAGGGTGCCAGAGTGGCCCCCTCCAGCTCCAGGGGATGCAAGGCATGGGCTCCAGGCATCTCTGTCAGCTGGGATTTGTGTTGGTAAAGACTGGGGATCTTTAGCAGCAAAGACTGTAGGAATCCTCCTGCTCTTTTCCCCTATGGGGGGATATAGTGGTCAAGGCAATTTCTGTTGGCACTAAGCTGTACTATGTGGAACATCCTCAGTTCTAAAAAATGTTCAATTTTTAAAATTTATGATAAAGTAAATTTCTGAAAGTTAAGTACATTATGAATGTTAGCTTTTTAATATATCAAATATAATTGAATATATTATATGTTAAATACTCCCAATAGCTTTAAGATATTTTGAATATTATTTTATTTTTTCAAATTGTATTTAAAATATATTTTAGAAAATTTCTTAAATGGCAAGAGAGCAATAATTTAGTGTTTCTAACAGTGAAAGGTTTAACTATAAATTAAGCTCTCAAAAATAATCCTTTTCATTATGAAAACATAAAACTCTCTAATGCAGTGAGATGGAAATGAAGATCTCTACAAGGAATAATGGGTCATCAGTTTATATTGTCCATCTTATACATATTAATTTAAAATGTATAGACTTGTGAGGATAAAAAAATAACATTTGTTAAAATAAAATCCTATTAGTTCAATAGTACAAAGAATATAAAATACCTAGGAATCAATTTAACCAAAGAAGTAAAATATCTATACAAGGAAAACTATAAAACACTGATGAAAGAAGATGATGCCAAAAAAAGGGAAAGATACTCCGTATTCATGGATAGGAATAATTAATGCTGCTAAAATAACAATACTATCCAAAGTAGTTTACAGATTCAATGCAATCCATATCAAATTTTCAATGACATTCTTCACAGAAATAGAAAAAAATCTTAAATATAAATGGAACCACAAAAACCCCAAATAACCAAAGCCACCCTGAGCAAAAAGAACAAAGACATTACACTATCAGATATCACAATGTACTACAAAGCTATAGTAACTAAATTAGCCTGGTACTGGCATAAAAACAGACACATAGATCAATGGAATAGAATAGGGAACCCAAATATAAGTCCACACATTTACAGACAACTCATCTTTGCAAAGGTGCCAAGAACATACAATGGGGAAAGGCCAGTCTTTTTAATACATGGTGTTGGGAAAATTGCATAACTATATGCAGAAGAATGAAACTACACCCTTATCTCTCACCATACACAAAAATCAGATCCAAATGTATTAAAGACTTAAATCTAAGGCCCCAACTATGAAATAACTAGAAGACAATATTGGGGAAATGCTCCAGGACATTGGACTGGGCAAAGGCTTTTTGGGATTAAGACCCCAAAAACACAGGCAACTAAAGCAAAAATAGACAAATGGAATTTCATCAAGCTAAAAAGCTTCTACACAGCAAAGGAAACAATCAACAAAGTGTAGAGCAAACCCACAGAATGGGGACAAATATTTGTAAACTACCATCTGACAAGGGATTGATAACCAGAATATATAAGAAACTCAAACAGTTCACTAGCAAAAAAAAAAAATCCAATTTAAAAATGGGCAAAAATAGATATTTCTTAAAAGAAGATATACAGATGTCCAATAGATATATTTAAAAAAATGCTGAAGGTCACTGAGCATCAGAAGATGCAAATCAAAACTACACTGAAATACCTCACCCCAGTTAAAATGGCTTTTATCAAAAAGAGAGGCAATAACAGATTCTGGCAATGATATGGAGAAAGGGGAACCCTAGTACACTGTTGACGGGAATAAATTAGTACAGCCACTATGGAGAATGGTATGGAGGTTCCTCAAGAAACTAAAAATGTAGCTAGCATATGACTCAGCAATTTTACTACTGAGTATATATTCAAAAGAAGGGAAATCAGTATATATATAAATATATCTATATATCTATATATATCTCCAAAGGAAAGGAAATCAGTATATCTGCACTCCCATGTTTATTGTAGCACTGTTCACAATAGTCAAAATTTAGAATTGGGCTGGGTGCAGTAGCTCACACCTGTAATCCCAGCACTCCAGCACTTTGGGAGGCTGAGGCAGGTGGATCACTTGAGGTCAGGAGTTCGAGACCAGCATGGCCAACATGGTGAAACCCCGCTCTACTAAAAATACAAAAATTAGCTGGGTATGGTGGCACGTGCCTGTAGCCCCAGCTACTCAGGAGGCTGAGGAAGGAGAATTGCTTGGACCCAGGAGGCGGAGGTTGCAGTGAGCTGAGATCATGCCACTGCACTCCAGCCTGGGTGGCAGAGCAAGACTCTGTCTCAAAAAAAAAAAAAAAAGAAAAAAAGAAAAAGAAAATGGAATTAACTAAGTGCTCATCAGTGAATGAATGGACAAAGAAAATGTGGTATATATACCCAAAGAAATATTATTTAGCCATAAAAAAATGAAATCCTGTCATTTGCAGCAATGTGGATGGAATTAGAGGTCATTATGTTAAGTGAACTAAGCCTAGCACAAAAAGACAAATATTGTTAAGTTGTCACTCATATGTGAGAGCTAAAAAAAGTGAATCTCATGAAGACATAGAGTAGATTGGTGGTTACCCTACCCAGTAGGCTGGGAAGGGTCGTAGGGAGGGGGAGGATGATGGGGATATTGAATAATGAGTGCAAATATACAGTTTAATAGAAGAAATAAGAGCTAGTGTTAGATCAGTAGAGTGACTATAGTTTACAGTAATCTATTGTACACTTGAAAATAGCTAGAAGACAGCCGGGCGCAGTGGTTCACGCCTGTAATCCCAGCACTTTGGGAGGCTGAGGCAGGCGGATCACAAGGTCAGGAGTTCAAGACCAGCCTGGCCAATATGGTGAAACCCCATCTCTACTAAAAATACAAAAATTAGCCAGGAGTGGTGGCGGGCACCTATAGTCCCAGCTACTCGGGAAGCTGAGGTAGGAGAATCACTTGAACCTGGGAGGCAAAGGTTGCAGTGAGCTGAGATTGTGCCACTGCACTCCAGCCTGGGTGACAGAGTAAGACTCCATCTCAAAAAACAAACAAACAAACAAACAAAAAACAAAGAAAGAAAAGAAAATCGCTCGAAGAGAATAATTTGAATGTTTTAAGCATAAAGAAAAGATATTTTAAGGTGATAGATATCTCAAATACACTGATTTGGCAATTAAAAATTAAGACTATATTAAATTATCATATGTACCCCTGAAATATGTACATTCCTTAGGCATTGATAAAATTTAAATAAATAAATAAAATTGCTAAAAGATGAATATTGATACATTGGCAAAAGTAAAAAAAAAATCACATTTTTCAAATTAAAAAAATTCAGCATGAACTAAATACCACATAGCATAGTGAGGTTTTTTTGGTTTTGTTTTTTATGACTATAAAGTTAGCTAAACTGCAGAATCTCAGGGAACAGTTCCCACAAAACTTCTCTCATTATCAGTAAACAAAATTGAATTCTCTTTATATTTCTTAAGTCAAAGATTAAAGGTGCACAAATTAGCATGGGGTTGTATTTTTTTTTTCCTTTTAAAATGCATTTGTTTTAATTTGTCAAGTTTTTGTCTTTTTAATTTCAAATTTTCATTTGACATACTGATTTGCAGTAAATTGGCCATTTGGAGAATTGGTTGGGGGCAAATTCACTTGCACTGAATAGCTGAGTGGTTCTCAAATTCAAGTGGGCATGAG